>NC_000006.12:98555638-98707153 GCF_000001405.40 Homo sapiens
TATCTCAAAAGAAAAGGAATCATTTAAACATAACTACAATACTTATAACACATCCACAAAATAAAAATTTAACAGTTTCCTTTTATTCCTTTTTATTACCCCTGCTGTGGCTGGTATCTGTCATTGCACATAGGAGATGTCTAATCTATGTCTGTACCTCTGTTTTGGTTTTAGTATTTTCCACTGCAGTAAATCCAACAATCCTTTTCTCTGCAATTTGCCTAGCTTGTCAACATCTAGGGGAAAAGTTTGAAAAATAACCACCTCATCTATTCCTCTGAACCTATGGCAGGGGAAGCAAGGACTGTTAAAGACAGTTGGCCCTGCCACCTCATCTGGCCAGATTGCAAGAGCGTATAGCTGGCTGGATGTCCTTAAATGTCCCAGTTTGATGTTTGGTCTTCCCAAATAAACTCAGATTTTAAAAAATTAACGGTAAAACATTAAATACAGACTTTGTATGGAAAAAAAGTGTTCAGTAAATGTCATTAACTGAGTGATAATTCAGTGAGGCAGCTTAATATACTACTAAAAATTATGGGCTCTAAAGTAAAGCAAACTCAGTTTCAAATTCTGGCCCTCCCATTTACTACCTGCATGATCATGGATGCACTGTGCTAGTAAATGTTTAGAAACTGCCTTTTGGGATGCAGGGGATCCACATTTGTAGCATTTGCTTATTTCCATGGTGTAAATGCTCCCACTATAGCCAGCTCCCACTAAACCACCATGAAGTCACTAAACATGGAAGCTGAGAAGAGATAAGTATAACTGGTGTTCTTAAGCTAATACTAGCCAGCTCTAGTTACCACTGGACCTTGGACAAGTCATACAAATCCTCTAATCCCCAAATTTATAAATTATAAAACAGAAAAAATAATAATACTTGCCTCACTCTATAATTGAAAGAATTAAATGAAATACTACCTGCAAAGCTGTTGTCACAGTGCCTGGAATGTATAACGCTTATTATGCATTCAAACAATGTTAGCTTTTTCTATTATTAAGCAGGATAAAGGTAAAATGTCACCAAAGGTTGGCTTTTTAAAATTTATTCTTTCAAAAGAAATTTTGACCATCCCTATGTGTGATATTTGTAAACATTAAGGCCAAAAAGTAACATAACACCATGGAATTACCCAGAGAAAGAATATGACTATATTCAACATACTGGCATTAAAAATGAATTCAACCACAACTGCTCATGGTTAAAGGGGATTTAAATCTCAGGCAAAGCCACATTTCACTCTGATCTCTATGTCCTCAGCAATATTGCCTTTGATAAACTACAATTCCTTTATCTTCTTCTCCTTTGCCCTCAGCCATAGCCTGAATGTAGCAGCACAGGTGGTACAACTGAGGAGACACAAAAACTTGCTCCATTTTGAAACATAAAATCCTGTATATGGTCATTAGGACCAAAAAGTAGGATTCAATGGTTCAAAATGTATACAAAGTGAATGTTTTAAGGATACAAAATTGACTTTGTTGTTAACCCATGAGGCAGTAAAATTTGCATTTGTTAATTTTCTTTTAAACACTTTCTTAAAGGTAATAATGTTAAATCCTTACTGTTTACTAGAATGGTTTTTTAACTCTGGTGGTTTATTCGCACCCAGCTCCTAACATTGGCCTTCAAGACCTCCCATTCCTCTGCTCTAACTCAGGGTCTTTCTCTACTTCATGCCTCATGTATAATCTCCCTTCTCAGAAGCTCAGAGAATAATCTCAGATGTTACTCAAGCAGGGGAGGAGCCCCATTCCAAACCCACATCTCCAACATGGCAGGGAGGAGAAGGAAATCACACATTTAATTTTGCTATGCAGCCTGCTTTTATCAGCTGTACTGCAAAGTAGAGCCTAATACGAAGACAATTTTACTTACTGAGCATAATGTCAGTAGCTTACTCTATAGATATAGGCTAGAAAGAATGATGCCAACACCTTTCCTATGAAATGAAAGGTTTAGAAGAAGAGAGTATTTCATTATTTAAGAAGAAAATTTATCAAATAATGGTTAATTTAGACACATAGCCCACTATTTAAAGGTGGAAGAGAGAAAGTTTTATAAATGAGACTCTCATATATTTCCTTTACACACTCTTCAGGCAATAAAATAATGCTTCATGAAAAGGGTTTTCCTCTGGTCCCCTCCAGGAAGAAAATAATCTTTTCTGAAAATAGTTTCTTCAAATCATGGATAGTGTTATTTATGAAAACTTAGCCTACATAACAATGGTCTCAAGTTGCTCCATTAAAACAAAGTTCACCTGCTAAAGAAAAGTGCAGAACAGCTGTGTGAGAGGTGCAGGCCCCGGGGCACTGGCCAGGTGCCTCTCTGAAAAGCACAGTTTCAGTGACACTTCCCAGTCACCTCCTTCTTCCTAGGACTCCTCCCAGACCTCAGAGGAACTAGTACAGCTTGTCTAGGATACCTCTAATTATGGTTTGAAGAAACAATTTGTGCTGCTTGCTTTGTTACTTCAGTTCTTTTTCTGTTGTGAAGAAAGAAAACGCATCCATCTCTTTTATCAACCACACAAAGCCAGCCCAGGTTCTCTGAAGCCACACAACCATCCTAGCTCCCATGTTATTTGGCATTTTGAAAGTCAGATCTGAAAATCTGGCATCAAAATATCAATATTTGAACATTCCATTTCCACACTAGGCATAAATCTTCCATAGACATGCTTAGCAGTGATCTAAGTCTTATACTGCCATTTTGTCAAGGAGAGAATATAATCAGAACACCTTAATCCTACCTTAATTTTGCTTTATGTGGAGATATATCTTCATTTGAAAGTACCTTTGTGGGCCAGAGGGTGTACACCTTGATCATTGCTGAAACGTGCTTTTCCGTAGAGAGAGACAAAGGAGTTGGTTTTTACTCCCAAGCCCTTTGCTACTTAAATAAAGTTATTGGCTGCCTAATGAATGTTAGCTGCAGTACTCCCTGTGGTCAGCGGGCCTGTTGTTTAATGAATTGCTTAATGTGCTTGATTACTGTTACAATGTTGAATGAGGAAAAGGCAAGAGAGATTTGAAAGATTCACTGGAGGATATGATGAAAATGAATTGGATCAATAGGAACTTTTTGCTCATCTCTGAACAGCACATTATAGGCTGCATTGTTAGAGTTTGGGGATAATGCAATTTTGTGGCTTGTTGTCTTTTTATAATTCACAAATATAAATCTCCTTCAACAGTGAGTTTTAGGGCCGGCCTTCCTGGAGTTATAAATGATCCCCAGACTCTAGCCCTGGTTACTTACACGGACAGATAAATTAATTAGGAAAACTTTTATGCCAATTACTTTATGCCCTTGGCTTTCATATGTTTCTGAAGAGCAGCAGCTAATTAAAGATATGATTCATAATTACTGGTCGATTGAGTAGTTGAGTAATGGAATCAGGAACTGTTCCAAAGAAAATTATCCATCACATCATTACTAATTGTTACATAATACATAAGGATGTAGAATTCAAATAAAAAATTACTCACTTTGAAAGGTTCATTCAATTTTTTTTAATTTAACAATTATAAACATGAAATGAGTTCTTGCAATGCTCAAATATGTAAGTAGGAATTTTTTTCCTTTTCTTAAAATAAAACTTCCACTGTATGAATTCAAAACACAAGGCTCAAATTACCTCAACTTTTAGTAATCAATAAATTCTGTTTCTTTCCTATGAAAAGTTCAGTCTAGAGAAGGTAATAGCCAAAATGCATTGTACTTCCTTCTAGCCTCACCCTTCTAACCTCACTTAACAGTAAGATTTGCTGAAACCCAGTGTGTTCAAATGGGAGGGGCTGTTAAGGACCACCCATTGGCTTGTGTTGGATTAAGAAAATTCCCAGGCTCAGAAAGGCTAAGAATGTTAATACTTGGAGAGTACTGAAATCTCCCCGAAAGGAGACAGTTGTCAAAGGTTGTATATATCTCAGATCTATCCTGTCTCAGGGAAATTGTGGCCTTTGTGTGAAGGGAACACAGCACCAGAAAGGTAGACGTAATCTCACACAGAGCAGAGCTTTGTGAGGAAGGAGTGAGGGGAGGACCCCAGCAATGGGCTATGGCTTGCATCTGGTGGAATTAAGGCCTCCCATCTGTGAGCATTCTAGAAGCAAGTAGCTCCTGTGTAAACTCACCTTCCATACACCCTGAGTGGCTGCCAAGAAAATCTCCTTCCTTTCCTCTCTCCCCAAAAGATTTCCCTGCCTTCCTCCCTCTTCCTTTCTAATCCCTGACTCTAGTTCCAGTGACAACCCAGGGTGGCATATGTAGTGACAGAACAGAAGATGGACAAGAGAAAACTGGCTTGGGTTGCAGGCCACCTCTCCCATCTGCAGCGCTCAGTCCCATCTCCTCCTCCAAAGTCTCTGCTTAGATCCTCTGATTTTAACCTAAGGCATAAAGAAGGACAATCTATATCTTCATCTATTCAAGAAACATTTATTGCCAGGGATTGTGTAGGGTCCTGGAGAGAAAAACAAGAGGTATAATCACCATCATCATGTCTCTCCTCATCACCCAGAGCTGCCAGCGTGAGGAGTATGCTGATAGGGAGACCTCTGGGATTCAGGGAGAAAACAGGAGGAGTCAGTGGACTTCAGATACAAGTTCCTGGTGAGATAGGATTAAATAGATCAGAGGAGGCTTTGTAATATTATCGAAGGCTCCATGGAGAAGGATGGCTTTCATTTTAATTTGAATGCTGGAAAAACATAGACCAAGGCATGGATGCAGGTCATTTCATCTCTAAGAGCTGCACTGCACTATGAGATGTAGATTACTTAGCCTGGGGAAGAAGCAGCAGATAAATACAGCTGAAGAGAGTGAGCAGGTCGCACAAAAGCAGAAGGCAAAGGACCCAACTGGAAAGTATGAAGCACCATAAACCAGGAGAGCCAAATAGCCTAGACTAGGAGTTTCAGAGTCCTCAGTCAGCCAAAAGCTACTTGTGAGACAGAGTAGGAGGATGTCAGCTGATCCACATGACAAGCACTGAAGGTGACCTTGGGCTGGGCTCCCACAGAGGAAAGAAGATGCAGATAGGAATGTGAGTAAATACTCACTGTGGGAAGGCTAGTGCCTATTCTCTTTCTACAGAGAGGCAAGTGCATTCAATCATTAATTAGAAGAATACTTCATGTTTTCCTTCAGGCAGGTTCCACTCGTACTAAAAGTAGGTGAGAGTTTTTCGGTAGCTAGAGGCACAGACCACAGGGCCTTTTAACTAAAATCTCCTTCAAGGAGAGGGAGCCGGACTACTTAGAGAGCAATTATCCTGCATCACATCAGCTAAGGGTTCATTCTCTTGAAGAGAAGCAGCGCTCTGTTTTGAGACAGGAAATTTGACCGAGCAGCTTCAGTTGTCTTTGTGTCAGTTTCAAGTATCAAGTGCAAAAGAAAAAGAAGAAAAAAAAAAAAAGATTTCAGACACACCACCTGCTGAGCTTTCCCAATTTAACAAACATGTGAGGTCTGGAGAGAGCAAATGAGTGCTTTTTAAAAAAATCAGATCAACCCTTTATTCACTTGGTAGCAGTTTCCAAAGGCTGCTGTATTCCTAACGTTACCCCAGAGGACCTGAGGGGCACCTTCGTGACCCATTAAGGCAAATTTAATCAAATACATCCAGGCCCTAGTACAGTATGCCAGAAGTGGGGCCGTAAAGGTGCCTTCTTTTCTTATACAACTCCTCAGCAGGCTGTTTCTTTAGAAAACAGAATTCCATGGACATTAGAAATAATTTCTTTAAGCTTTAACAGGGGACCCAAAACACAAGGGTACCCAATTCTAAACTAAACCATTTTAAATAATGAGCAAGTGAGTCAACTAAAACTCACTGCCTACCTCCTCTTAAACCCAGAGTTCTATGAGCTGGAAGGAAGGAACCTCAGCCTCCTGACTCGGCATCCTTCCCTCCTCCCTCCCTCCATCTCTCTACCTGGTTAAAGCTCAGACCATGAAGATGGAAGGATATCTAGCAGAATTACAGATTTAGTTAGTATTCCCTCTACTCTATGTAAATGAGAAAAGTTGTTCCCAGATTGTGCTTTCTGAAGGAACAGATCCCCAGCTCACCAGTGATATGCACTCAAATAGTGTGCATGTGTGGCTGAAAGCTCAGTGGGAAGGGGCAATCTGTTGCCAGGACTCGTGCCCAGTACTCTTTCAGTTTCCATCGACCGAGACCTCAGCTCTCCCACCAAGCTCAGATCAAACCCCGCAAATGGAGGAGATGCTCTACAGAAACAGGTCACAGTGTCTGTGTTTGGATTATAGGGATAGGAAAGCAAGGGACACCCCCAAAAGCATGGACCATATCTCTCTCCTCACCTCTCACAGTGATATCGCTGATCTTCTTTCAAGCTGTTGAACTTTGGCTTTATGCTGGCCAAAGGTGCTGAAGCATGTGCTTGATATTCACCTTTCTGTTTCGCATTCTCAAATCTCTATCAAAGACGGCAGTTACAGTAACAGGAAATATTTTTATTACTCTTTTAGAAAGAATTTCTTCAAGAAAAATTATGTTAAGCTTAGATTTGGCAAAAATCTTGTCTTATGTATTTTAAAACATTAGTATTCTCTTTTGATGGGTATTGAAAACTCAATGCAGTATTTCTAAGGCTTCTGATAGTGGCCAATCTCTCAGGAGTAATGATGTTACCTGACTCTGTGCCAAAGAGGTAAATCACAAGGAAAGTCAGGTTGACAGTGTTAGAACTAGTGTCATTCAACTGTCATCATCTGAGTCCTGTCACAAGGACCTGACCACACAACCTACAGGCAAAAATCTAGTTTTTATTTTCTTCCTCACACCCGTCTTGCCTTGTAATTTAAAGATAGTTATTTCACCCTTTCTATTGTGGTGTGCTCACATGCAAAAGAGTTAACAGTATTTATTGGAACTAGTGTTTAGCACTCTCATCTTTAAATAGTCTTCTGACTCAGAAAGTCTTGTGTAGGTTGTTATTTTGAGCCAGATTCTCCCAATGTGGAAATTCCTTAGGATTACACTGGGCTCTTTGGAGAAGTCAACTAACTCTTTCAGGTCCGTAGCATAGCATCTAATAACTACTTTGTACCATTTTAAAAAATGAGTATAAAAATTAAGCAGGCATGACTATTAGGCAGAAAAGTCATTTTTTTTTTCTTCTGCCATGGAAGCTTCAAGACCTGTGATTTTGTCTGCAAGCCAATCTAGCACAAAGTGACACGCAACGTAAACATAAAGGTATGTAGAAGTCACACAGAATTGAAGCACTTCTGATGGTGGAAACTGGTGCCTGCTTGAATCAGAATTCTCTAAATTAATTCTGGATTATCTGAATTCTTTTTATTTTACCTGCAGAGGTGAAGGCGCATATGATACTGAAGGGCATTTTTTTTCTTTTAATGTCACTTCAGCAGGTAAACATTCATCTTTCAATGGTTCCCTTTTAAAATGTTAACCTCTATGGAGTCTCAAACATGGCTAAAAAGAAAAGCTCACCTTTCAGAGAACTTTGGAATGTCTCTTTTTTACAGGCATTGAGAGTGTTCTGTCCAGGAATCCACACAGGCTTTAAATACCATCTCTATGTTGACAATTTCCAAATTTATGACTCCAGCCTAGACTTTTCCCCTGAACTCCAGACTCACATATCCAATAGCATATTCAATGTCTTCTCTTAGATTTCTAACGAACATTTCAAATTTAAGAGGTCTGAAACTATATTCCTGATTTTATCCCTCCCAACATGTTTTGCCCATCATGTTTTCCATCTCAGTAAATAAAACATCCATCCTTCTAGTTAGGCCAAAACCCTGGAGCAATCCTTGCCCCACTCTTTAGCTCATACCTTACATCCAGTTCATCAGAAGACCATTTTGGATAAACTTTCACTATATATGAAGAATCCAGCCACTGCTCCACCTCCACCGCTAGCATACTTTCTAGCTGCCACTATTGCTCACCTTACTAGTAACGGTGACCTCCTAACTATCCTCTCTAATTGTACTCTTGTCTCCCAAAAGTCTATTCTCAACGTAACAGCCAGAACAATCCTATTAAACAATGTCATTAGGTGTTATTCATCTCTCAACTCTTCCAATGGCTTTCCATTTATCTCAGAGAAAAATTCCAATTCTCACAGTGCCTATAAGGCACAATAATTTGCTATCTGATCTCTCTTTCTGGTCACATTTCCTACCACTCTTGCCTCCCTCTTTCCTTCCCTGTTTCCCTACCTTTGTCCTTCCCTCTCCTTAGCCACACTGGCCTCCTCCTGATTCCTCAAACACCAACAGACAGCCCTTCCTCAGGGCCTTGACAATGGCTGTACTATCTGCTTGGAATGGTCTTTCTCACTGATGTCTACCTGGCTTGCTTCCCTACCTCTTTCAAGTCTTTGATCAAATATCTCCTTAATGAGGTCTACCCTGACCAGCCTACTTAAATTGCAGTCTGTGCTCAGCTTTGCTTATTTTTCCTAAAACTTACCACCTTCTAAAACACTAAAATGCATATTTGTTATTATTTACTCTATCTTCCCTACCACTAGAATGTGAGTTTCCTTGGGAATAAAGTCTCTAGATTTCAGTCTATATTTTCACTAATGTGACCCCAGAACCTAGAAAAATACTTAGCATGTGGTAGTTTCTCAGTATATTATTTGATGAACAAAAGAATGATTTTTGCTTTTGACATCATTTGCTTAGTAATAAAAATATTGAGTCTGTTAATGCCAAAGTAGTCAGTCAGAAGTAGTGGCCAGGAGGACTACACCAAAGACACCTGATTTCTCTATGGAATATTAACTTCCACAGAAATTTAATGAAATTAATTAATATTAATATTAAGATATTAATAATATTAATACAATAATATTGTTATTATTTATAATCTTATTACTAATATAACACAAAATTTTCTTTCTTCTATCTTTCATTAAGCATTATAAACTTCCCAACTGATATTTTTTAATAAAGGAGTAGAGAGGTGAGACAAGATATATTACAATTTTAAAGTATACTTAAAGCTAGAATTTTCTTGAAAAATATTATCTGTTTTGTTTTAACTATCTGAACAAATATTAATATGGAAGGACTGCTGTGACACTGAATAAAAACTTGTTCTCCAGGATCTGTTATTAATAGTGACTATTGGCTGGTTGCGGTGGCTCACGCCTGTAATCCCAGCACTTTGGGAGACCGAGGCGGGCAGATCACGAGGTCAAGAGACCGAGACCATCCTGGCTAACACGGTGAAACCCCGTCTCTACTAAAAAATACAAAAAGTTAGCCGGGAGTGGTGGCGGGCCCCTGTAGTACCAGCTATTCTGGAGGCTGAGGCAGGAGAATGGTGTGAACCCGGGAGGCGGAGCTTGCAGTGAGCTGAGATCGCGCCACTGCACTCCAGCCTGGGCGACAGAGCGAGACTCCATCTCAAAAAAAAAAAAAAAAAAAAAAAAAAAAATTGTGACTGTTAGTTTGGCATTCAATGCTTATGTGAATGTGAATATCAAATAACATTTAATCTTTATGATGCATGCTGGGGTATTGAGGAATCGTAAATGGTAATATGCATTTTACCTCTGAGTTCTAAGCCAACTAAGAGATAGACTCCAAATATGAACAGATAGAGATTAAAATGTATGCTTTATTGTTGGTTAAAAAATGTATGGGCAAATATGGCTTCACATGTGGCAAAAATCAAGGGTCTTCTACTTGAAACCCTACACCCACCTACAGTCTAGACCTTGGGACCACCCACTGAAGAAAGAGCCAGGGTCTACTGAGCAGATATTTTTACCAGGCTGACTAAAATGGAAAACACTGCAGAGTCCTGACAGTGAGGAACAAGAGGGATGGATCTGCAGATCAGCCTCTGGAAGGCAGGTCTGGACCTAAAATAGTGTGTTCATCACGTGGGGGCAAGAGGAAAGCAAAACACATTCATACTGGAGCAGGCAGATTTGAGAGAGATAAGAAGGAAAGACCAAGTTACACATGCCTGGGTCCTTCTCCCATGCTTACAGATCAAATAAAGGACTCCTCCTCCCTTGGGTAGAAGTTTGTGAGAAAAATAAATTAGGAAGCCCCCTTCTCAGTAATCTGGGATCATTGGAAAATTGTTCTGCTGACAGTGAAAGATAACAGAAAAAAAGACAACCATGTATACTCAATTTCAGGTCTCTTTCATCCCAGAGGACACTAAACTGGCTATAGGATCTGCTTGAAGATCTTTAAGTCCAAATAAATAATATACTTTCTATCACTCCCACTTATAGATTCATATATACGCAGTACTCCTTCAGATTTGAAGTAGCATATGTTTTCATCACCATCTCTACCAGCAAACCAATCCTCCTGAACCATCTTTTAGCTTTTCCTGCTTGCTTCAAGAAACCTTACATTCTGAGAGTTTCAGATGAAATATCACAACATTTGTTGTCATTGTAAAAGATCATTTAATATTCCGTGGGCACATGCCATATGTTTTGAAGGAAGATGATAAGTACTGTTTTGTCACTTTTTCTTGGCAAAATGCAAAATGGAGTGAAAACAAAGACACTTTCCATACATAAAGCTTTAAGAAAATATTGGGAAAAAATTGCAAACCGAGTTACAATGTGCCATTTCTGAATTTTATTGGTTACAAAAGAAGTTCACAGTTATCCTCCTACCATTTTACAATAGATAGTTGTTCCCACAGAGCCTTGGCCAACACAGTGCTATGTCATAGAAATCTGCATGGTCTGTTCACTGAATGAATAAGGATCTGTTTTCCCAAAGTATGATGAATTCAGCATGCAGTGAATTTCTTAAATAAAAGCAAGTACCCCCCTAGACTTACACTAGGGACTAAATTATGACAATGTGACACATAGGTAAGTGCTCTGCGATGGGATTAGGGTTCACACCATCAAATTAAATGCTTTAAAATAGCACAGTTAATATCCGGGGGAATAATAAAGAGAAACACCAAGTAATATATAATCACAGTATCATACTAGATAGGAAATCAATGGGAAAAAACTAGGTAACACTCTACAGTAGACTGTTTACATTATGGCAATAAATACATGAAACTATAAAGTGTATACAGACATTAAAATTGAAATGTTCTAGTCACTTATTACAAAAAAAAAACCTTTTATAGCTAGAATTAAAGAAACAAAACATTTTAGAAATACGCTATGCTATATATCATAAGTACTCTAAGTAACACTACAACTAAACAGATCTTCAATATTAGGGCAATAAATGCAAGTCATTCAAAGGAGAATCACAGTACAACTCTTAAAGGCTTAAGACCAATTTTGACTCAGGTAGGTTATTAATTTCTAAAAAAGTCAGTTGGCTACAAATTGCATTCTTAAATAAATAATGTTAAGCATTCAATTCTGAGTGGATGTAACCTTCATCTTTGGAGTGCAACAACTTCAAGTAGCAGCAACACCCAAAAGGAATATTTTAGGTCTCTGTGATTGATGGTGAATCATGGTTTTTTTTCACAAAGTGGCTAACTGCATGACTTCACATAAATGAAATCTTTTGCCTTAATATTTATTTATTTTGTTTTATTTTATTTTTTTGACCAAGTCTCACTGTGTTGCCAAGGCTGGAGTGCAGTGGCGCGATCTCTGTTCACTGAAACCTCCACCTCTGGGGTTCAAGCAATTCTCCTGCCTCAGCTACCCAGAGTAGCTGGGATTCCAGGTGTGTGCCACCATACCCAGCTAATTTTTGTATTTTTAGTACAGACGGTGTTTCTCCATGTTGGCCAGGCTGGTCTCGAACTTCTGACCTCAAGTGATCCACCCACCTTGGCCTCCCAGAATGCTGGGATTACAGGCATGAGCCACTGCACCCGGCCTGCCTTGGCTTTTGTAGCTATAAAATGGGCTTAGATTTGACAAAACTTCCATCTCAGTATGAAATTGTCCTTAACTCATAAAAGCTAATCCTTAAATGGGAATATTATTGGAGAGACATGTATAGATGAAAGATTATTCTGAAACAAGAGCCCGAGAATAGAATGCTAGGTAGGCATATGGTCCCTACTTTACTAAGCCCAGGATATGCCCTGAAGTGCCACACATTCTTCTCTGGGTAAAGCCTACATGGCAAGCCTTGAAGGGCATCATGTTTGTTATGCCAAGTGAGCTAGGATCCCCAACCCTGTAGCTCCTTGATGCGTATTCCGTCTCTCTTGGAAGTAAAATTATGAAAATGTGATGGCAAGGGGGGAGAAAAACAATAAAAAATGTATTTAAACAATACAAAAATTATCACTTGCTTTATTTTTTCCAAATATCAAACTAATCAAACTAAAATAGGGAAATACTAAAAGATACCCAGACATTGAAATTTTAATTTTATTTCCAGTGATTTGGGAACCTTAGTAAAGGGCCTGGAATAGGCAGCCTAGCTAAATAGAATTTTTCATGTTGCCATGTGTGTTCAACTGGCTGTCCTGGCCAGAGCTGACTTCTTACACGTTGCTTTGCCAGACGTAACAGAGACAGGCACAATCACTGTGATTAGCATTATGTGAGGAATAAACAGTCTGTGGCTGAAGCAGCACGCTCTAAATAGCTTTCTAACCTAGGTATGACCAAGACATGTAATACATCGAGTAATTTGCCCAATTACATATGTAGTAATTTTCGTTGATACTCATCATGCCTTTTGCAGTTTCATTACATGTATGTCTAAATAATATTGAATGTAATTTTTTAGCAGTATTGGTTGGAGCATATTGTGTCTGGTGTAATGCATCTCAGCAAATTTTTTATAATAATTTGGATAGCTGTGGCTATTGTTTCTCTCCCCCATTAAACGTGGGGAATCAGAAAAAAATATATATATATTGGATACCTATAAGATACAGACAATGTATTCTGCTGTAGATATTAAAGTGAAATCATATTATTAATGCTATACTTTATAAAATATATGGATTGTCCTATAAATAAACATATACAGAACATTTGAGTCTCAATTCAAGTCATTCATTTGAAAAAATGTATCAAATCCAAACACATTTTTATGTTCTCAAATTTGCATACGTTTTTCAGTTCTTTGGGCAATGTTTTATAATCCATGTTGTTAAAGAGCTCCTTATCAACCATCAGCTGATTGAAAAAATGTTTATAATAGAAGGACCTAAAAAGACACTCCACGAAATCCACCTGTCTGCTAGTTCCATAGATGGATTTTCATCTAGTTAGCATTAAATGCATGCCACCCAATTACACCCACATTCTTATTCTTAGCATTTGCAAAGACTGAATACTGATCAAAGTAGCTATACTGCTGATAATAGATCCTGTTTGGAGTTTTGACTTCAAGAAAAGTTATTGACTTATTTTTTTCAATTAATAAAGTGGATTTTATGAAAATAAGTGGACTTAGAGTGAACATATTGGATAGAAAACATATTGGGCAATATAAACTAAGTTAGCAAGTCTTTTGTAAATTTATAGAAGTAATTGGTTCACATATTAAATTAATCTTTAATATTTTGGTATAGAGTTAGCGAACAAGTCAAAATTAAAAGGACGAATCTGAAATTACTGGGCATTCTTTTCTGAAGTATGACTTATTTCCAATATCTTAGGGAAAAAATAGACTAAAAATAAATATTTAACTCACAAAGAGGTTTTTGGGGGGTAGTTGACTGGCAAACTTGGAGAATCCACTCAGGATTATGCAATTTCCCTCATCTGGGATCCTTCCAGTGATGTCCAAATATATACTGTTTAAATTAAAATTATAATTTTATGAAAATTTAGCCAAAGTTTTGAGCATATCTCAAACTTTGAAATACCACGACTGCCACCTCTACCATTATCTATCAAGGCTTAAACCTGTAGGTTGGGATGGACAAGCTAATGCCATTAGTCTGGGGTTTTGGTAATTCAATTGGGAGCCTAAATATATAACATGATTATTTTATTAAGTATCATATTGCTTCCTATAAGCAGGTTAAATATGTTTACCTCTTACCTTTTAAAGATATTATTAATCCAGATGATATGTAATAACTAGTTGACCTAAATTGCTGTTGCTACCTAGTAATCCAGTTTCCCATCCAGAAGCAGCTCCTACACTGGCAAAAATGGTTCAATCCAGGTGAAAGTGCCTTGAGATCTTCAGGGAGTAGATGCCACATAAGTTTAAAATATTCGTGTTATCTTTTAAAACGCAATTCTTATTAGCTAGGTAAAAGCTCCTATAGAGAAAAATGGCTGAGAAAGCAGGATGTTGCTGCTACAGCATAAATCCAGGAGTCAAGAAAGTTGGCACAGGCTCCAGAGGTTCCTCCAATGAACTGGATTATCTTAAGTAGAATTATGTCACTTCTCTCAGTGTCAGTTTCTCCTTTTGTTAAAAATTGGGAGAGTTGGATGAGGACAGGGGTCAGTAGGCTTTTTTGTAAAGGGCTAAACTAAATAATTGAGGCTTTGTAGATCAAATATATGATTTCAGTTGCATATCCTTATTTGCTTTAGTGTAAAAATTATACTTTTTTATTTTTTTTTAGATAGAGTCTCGCTCTGTCGCGCAGGCAGGAGCGCAATGGCGCGATCTCGGCTCACTGCAAGCTCCACCTCCCGGGTTCACACCATTCTCCTGCCTCAGCCTCCGGAGTAACTGGGACTACAGGCGCCCGCCACCACACCCGGCTAATTTTTTTGTATTTTTAGCAGAGACGGGGTTTCACCGTGTTAGCCAAGATGGTCTAGATCTCCTGCCCTCCTGATCCACCCGCCTCGGTCTCCCAAAGTGCTGGGATTACAGGCGTGAGCCACTGCGCCCTGCCTTAAAAATTATTCTTAGCTCACGCCGAACAAAAATAGGTGGTTGGCTAGTTCTGGATTAAGGCCATTGTCTGTTGATCCCTGGATTAGAAGACAATGAATATTTCTCATTGTAACAAAATTTCATGATGCTATGATTAACCATGAATTTAAATCACTCACTTGCAGAATATGCCCAAATCATTGATACCAGTGAATCTTGGTAATAAAAAAGACAGAATGCCAACACCATCTCAAAATTGTTTCAAACTCTTGAATTACTGTAAAACTTTCAATTAACCAAACATTTGTCAATCCTTACATTTCAGATAATTGTACACCTACATAGAGAAAGTGTTATTTATTCCACATGAATGATTTCTTATCCTGAGGGATACATATTATGTGTACAGAAACAATATAACAAGATGAAACTTATACATATATCAAATACAGCTTGCAAGACCAACTCCCTGGTGTATCAAAAACAGTACATTACATCACCATTAGCAGCATCCAAAAGTCAAAGGCAAATGCCTAGTATAGTTTCTGATCTTTTGTAGCAATGTGGGTGGATACACGCCTGATCACAAATAGCTCTACTGATCCTTTGAAGGAAAGATATATAAAAATATTTTATGCTTTTTCTAATTTTTTAAAGAAATGAATGGAAAAAACTACGATTTTTTGAACAACTGTATGTTAATCCCTTTAAATATATTAATAGTAATAATAACAAATATTCATAAGGGCTTTCTATGAGCCAGGTATTTTTAAATCTACTTTATATGTATAAACTCATTGAAATCTAAAAACCACCATAAGAATTAAGTAATATTATCAATCCTGTGAGGTGGATATTAATATTACTGATATTGTGACAACTGAAGAAATAAAGAACTAGCGAACGTGATGGGTATAGAGCTGGAAACAGAGTCAGCTACCTCAAATCTCTTTCTGTTGTCTTTCCTGTATTATTTTTTAATGAGGTAGAAATGATACACATACCTGCATATATCATCTCTCAGGCACAGACTAGCATTAAAATTGGAGTCCATCTAAGCCCAAATCCAAGGTGTTGACTATCCCCATAATGCCAAGGACAGGATAATGGTCACAGCCCTAGTATTACTTAGAAACAGCCTCTTCTGTCACAAGGCTCCCCACGATTCCCAGGATAGTATCATATTCTCAATTAGGAATAAAATACAGCCTATTATGAATCATATGCCTCTGGACCTGTCAAGAACCTAGTGTGGAATTTTAACCAATAGGAAGGATAATAATGCTTTCAGAACTTGAAGTCATATGTGAGATTAGAGCTGTTTCAAAATGCACACACTACTTTAAAATGTCTTGGTGGATTGGAAAAGCTAATATGACAGCTCTAATTGTGCCTAATTTGAACACAAGAAGTAGCTTAGGTCCTTGCAGTATCTTATTTCTAGAGCTCAGATACTGAGGACTGAGAGCAATATCTCACTGCTAATATTTAACTTAAACACTTTAGGGACCAAGCTTAATTTTAGGAATCTAACTTAAGACTTAATTTCCCTTGAGCATAGAAAATAAAACTGATAACAGCGACCACAGATATGGTGGAAAGAAGATAAGCTTTGGACCCAGTCAGACTGGGGGTTGAATCCAAACTCCATCAAATACTATCTGTGTGCTTAGACATAGCAGTTAAGTGTTCTGACTTTCAGCTTCCTCTCTTTAAAGAGGACACAAATTACACCTTCCTTGTAGGCTCTGTCTAGGACTGCAGGTAATATAGGCAGAGTGCCTGGTACATAATAGATGTTCATAAGGTGTAGCTCTTATTCTTAGATATACATGGGTTTGACATGTCATGAAAAAGACTTTAATGTTTGTGTACAGCAACCAATCCTCCCTATATTACTTACCTGAATTGTTACAACCACATAATTATTTACAAATGCTTATTCAGTTTCCCAAATATATGTCATGGCAGAGTGTACCTTTAGATCAGAAATATTTATTATTGTAAAGAAGAAATCCAGGAGTTGTTCTTTCTTATCTAAAAGTGTACCCTCCACATACTCTGGCACCCAAGATCCCTCTCCAGACAAACAGAATCAAATGGGGACATGTAGAAGTGATTATTTCAACCTACTGCAGAAAATATTTGTCTGGAGACTAAACTATTTCAGAATGACTAAAACTAGTGGGAAAATCATCTACAAGAAAAGTGTAATGATAGAAAGTAACTGCTTCTGTAAATTGAGCTATGGTATGGAAGAACTATAATTAAATAGGTGTTACAAACATAAACTCCATACCATAGACTTCTCATGGACTTTGGTACAAGGAAAATTGGTTGCTCTTAACAGGCTGTTTTGCCACCTGACTTTATTGTTTACCTTGCCGTGTTAACTGCTGGAAACTCAAAACTAAATTGTATGTTCAATCTGAGTACAGTTTTAACTAAGACATTTTTATACAGCTCTCCCTTTTCCTGTTTAATTTTTTCTCTGAAATATTTTAAACAATAAAAAATTTGCAAGTACAATACAAAAAAAAAAAACACATATTTTCCTCTGAGCCATTTGAAAGTAAGTTTACCAACAAGATTCCCCATCACCTCTGAATATTTTAGTGTGTAATTCCTGCAGAGACATTCTCCTACATAACCTCAATAAAAACATCAAAATCAGGAAATTACATTGATACATTATCATCATAAAATCCACAGATTTCACTGAAGTTTCACCAGTTGTTCCCATAATGTCATTAGTGACAAACGGATGTCCCAAATTATGCATTACATTAGTTGTTGTATCTCTTTAGTCTCCTTCAGTCTCAAACAGTTCATTTCTTCCTTGACTTGTATGACCTTGACTGTTTTGAATAATAAAGGCCAGTTTCTATAATGTCCCCCTATCTGGGTTTATCTGATATTTCTTTACGATTAGGTTGAGGTGGGTTTTTAAAATTATTTTTGGCAGAAAAGTTACATAAGGTATGCTATATTCTTCTTTTCATTCTTATCAGATGACACATGATTTTGAGTTGTTCTTTTGCTTATGATGTCACCTTTGATAATTTGATGATGGTAGAGTTAGCTAGGGTTTCTCTACTATAAAGTTCCTCCTTTTCTCTTTGTAATTAGTAAGTATTTAGGGGTAGATACTCTGAGACTAGGTAGATTCCAATACTTACCAAACTTTTACCCACTGGTCGTGTTTGGCATCTTTTAATGTCTGACAAATGGTGATTTTCTAATCAATGACTCCCCTCTGTGTGTATTAGTATCCTAATTCAATCACACCTTGTAAATTCATTAGTTAATAAAAGCTTTCTTTTTCACCGTTTATTCATTTATATCTTTATATGAATATTTGTTATTTTGAGGCTCAAATTATCCCAGATTGTGGCAGGGAGAGCCCCTTCAAGCTGGCATCTGTGCTGAACACTACCTTAGTTTCTGGTGCAAGATAGTCCAGGGTTATGTTTTACCTCCCCAGACCTAACCATAAAACCTATTGTTTTTCCAAGGGGATCTGAATCCTTTTAGGGGAGAATTGTATTTAAGAAACCAGGATCTGGGCACTTCATGTTTTCTTTGTTATTGAAGTGTCATTGCTCCTAGACCCATATATATATATATAGTGTGTGTGTGTGTGTGTGTGTGTGTATCCAATTCAACATCACAAAGTTTATTCTTGTTTTTCCCTTTCCATATATTTGACACTATTCTCCAATAATGAGGAATCTAATTTCTGTTATCATTGTTATACTAACATATTATCCTTATTATATTTATTACTTTAATCTCTGCTGTGCCTAAACATCTCACACCACGGTTCCCACACCTCACTCTGGGCCATTGCCATCATCCACCCTCAGGGACATCTTTTGTCAGTGTACACAGACTCTGACAACTCAGGTCAATCTGCTTCTGCTGTTGCCCTCCCAGCTTCTAACACCCTCATGAATCCCCACCTTGGTCAACCCCACATAATAACTTTTGGACTAAATTATTCAGGCAGAAAGAAAGGCAGGAAAGCAGGCAAGCAGTAAGAAAAATTCTCCTCCCCCTTTTACTTGGATTTTATTGTGGGTTTTTGTACTTACCTTAATAGTTTTATTATATATGGCTCTCTCATAAATTGCCTTATATGCAATTTGAAGGGAATAAACAACATAAAATGATGCAAACAAAAGTTTCAGTTGGAAGAATTCCAGAACGGTTCTGAACAGTATGAAAGTAGTGTTCATCAAATCTGCATTTTAAGACCTCTCAGAACATGAAAGTCTATTTTCAGTAACATGCTTCACTCCACAAAAGCCAAGGCAGATAAAAGGAATGGCCCCAGGAACACAAGTGGCGCTTTTGATTCCACATACCTTCTTCCTAGTGCGGATGGTGTGTACTACTTGTGTGATCTTCAGCATTTTACTTAATGTTTATATGAGCTGATTTCATCAGCCATAAAAGGAAAAGGCTTGCTCCCTTGCCAACCTCACAGGAATGTCATTTTGATTTTTATAAAGCACAGACTATTTTTGAATTTCTTAACAATAGTCAGTATATTCTGAGCTTAAGACCAAGAGAAAATATATCATCACAAATTCATGGAGCAGAGCCCCCTGTGGATTTAGGATTAAAGGAAGGAACAATTTCTCAGTCTCCATAACATGATGGTGCAGCCCTATACGACCCACTCTTGGGATCTAAACGGAAGGCTGTCAGGCCTTGAGTGGGCATGGAGCCAGCAGCTGATGACCTCTGGTAAGAGACAGAGCACCACTGTTCAGAGAAGCAGCTGTATCACGTGATTGAACAGGGCCTTGGACATGCCCAACCAGAGTCCTGTCTGCCAGATGTAGATAGCAAGGTAGGAATCAGCAGTCCTGCCTCTGCCTCCCTAGTCTGCAATTTACTACGTAACCAGGGGTAATTAATTCATTCTAGCTTTCTCGTGCCAGTTATAGGATCTAATGAGTAAAAAGTTCTGATTCATGTTGGCTCTTAAGAAATACCAGTAGTTCCGAAAATGTTTTTAAACATATGAGGATGTTTATTGCAGCATTATTTGTGATGTCAAAAACAAAACAGAAAACATGAAACTGGAAGCAAAGTAAATTTCCATCAGTTGGACAATAGCTGAACAAAGTCTAGTACACCCACATCACTGAATACCAGGCAAATAAAAAATAATCACAGCAAATTAAATAAAGAAGTAGGAATTGGAATTTAGTCATTTTCTATTAAGCCAGACATTAAAGAGATTTACAAAAAAAAAATAAAACAATGTCACTCTTTATATTGAGTTTTATTTTTGAACATATATTTTTCACTGAATATATTAATTGTGTTAACATGTATGGTTTATTACTGTTATTTGTAATGAATTAATATGTAAACGTTTTGATAACTTCTCATCAAATTAGGATCCTAAGTAAACTACAAATTTAATTGGAAAAATTAGATAACTTAATAAAAATATTGGCTAATAACCTGAACACAGACGTCACAGAAAGAAACTCCGAATGACTACTAATTACATAAAAAGATTTCTTAATCTAACTTTTGAAGTAACATAAATCAATTGTTTCACCACTAGCTATAAAGATTTTTATAAGGATTTCTAGTTACTAGAAAATTATTCTACAGTAAAACTAAACCTAATTCAAATAACAGACAAAAAGAAAGCTTTTTTTTTTCAGTTATTTAAACCAGAAAGTTATTCTAGTCACAGTACCATTGAGTGGTATAGCTGAAATTTAAATACATCATTGATGTTAAATAGCCATTATCAGATGAGGTGTCCTGATGGTCATGAGAATATATTACTTACACCCACCCATGGAAAATGGTTTCTAATACTTGGCCAGTCCACCTTCAAGATTGCTGTGAAGATCAAAGAAAGACTTATGTGTAAAAGGGATTTGATAACTATGTAAATATGAGAAATCATCATTTGTTTTAGAATTGCTTTTACCCAAAGAATCTGAGGCATTGGTTAAGCATCTTGGGCTCACAATGTGCTACAGAATAAATGTACTATAGATAAACTGGGGCAGAGAGAGAGAGGAACACTGAGCTCTCGACTAGCTATGTAGTAAGTCAGGCCCTGCAGGGCGGGAAAGAAATGATTGTCTGATCAGAGGCTGCACAATGATATTCATAACTATTCAAAAGTATATATAGCACATCCTCAGAGAAACATAATAGTGCAATATTAAATTCACAGCACAAAATTATAGGGAAGAAGAAATTTCAGGCAGAAAATAAATGATAACTGCATTGGGGCACTTTTGACCGTAACTTTGGAAGACAGAGGGTTAAAATGCCTTCGATGTCACTTGTGCCCATATATCCTGACTGTCTAATTCATGGTTTTCAGAACCACAACTTGCAAACCCCCAAGTACCTGGGGACATTCTCTGCCATTAATTTGGGAGCAGCACTCCCTTTGCAATAAGTAGACAGTGTAGGGAAAGAATTAATGGCAGGGTATGGCCTTTACTCAGTAGAACACAGACAATAGTGGCTTGTGGTGTAAAAAGGAGACAATTAATTGCAGCAGTGGTGTCTGTGCCAATTCCCAAGTTCTAACCACAGAAATACTTGAGAGAGTCATCAGAAACAGCAAAGGGAAAGGCACTTAAAACTCCTTCCTAACTAAAGCATATCCAATTATCTGTGGACCAAAATGCCTTTGTAGCTGAGTATATGGATATCCAGACACCTCAAACAGTACAGGGTAACATTTTTCTCCCATATAAAACCAGGGATTTAACATAATATTCAATGTCTTGGGTTTTCCCTTCTAGAAATTCTTACACAGGAGAGCACCTGTGCATTTAATAACTGGAAGATATTATACTGCATTGCAAACAAAATTTTACTATTCTCAAAGATATATTTCAGGAGAATCTACTTAAATATTTTTTCCATTTGTTTATGCAATAAGAACTTCTATTGTGTGTGCCTGCTTTCGTAAAAGAAAAATCACCTAATCCAATCTCCTATAATTACTCCTTATCGTGTACTGTATCATTGACTTTCCCTGGAAGCTACACCTAAGGTATGACTAAGTAAGAGATACTAGCTTGAGAGATCTGAATCAGGAAATACTAGGACAAATTGAGATGGACTCTCTCTTTGTGTCTCTGCCTCACTTCTATTCAAACAAGAAATAGGATGCCTCCAATTCCACTGATTACCAGTTTCGGTATCAACTTATCAAGACAATGATAGGCCCTTTACAAATGTCCCCCTCATGTTATTTTCCCAACAGAAGCAGAAGCTGACCTATAGTTCTTGGAGCTATTGTAAAAGAGCACATTGTATTTGTCTACTAACTCTTTTAGCCTTGCTAGCCGGCTGCTTAATTTAATGTAATTGAGCCTTTATCCAAAGAACTCTGATAGAATGTTTAAAAATGGGCTTTCCTCTGTTTCCTCAGAATTTGGATTCATTTACATTCAACTTACTGAGTGCCTCATGTCACTCAGTGTCAAGATTAGACTTCCTCAAGAAACTCAAGGCAAGCACAGTGGAAAGCAGAACAGATGTGTCTGGTTATCTCTGCATGTGATTCCAGGCAATGGGCCCTTCCTGCTTTTTGGGAGAGAAGGTTACCTCCTTGCAAATGTGTACTCACTGTCACAGCTGATAATTGAAAGGTGAGGTTTCCAAAATGTCATTATTATTTTTATTGCTAGACATGTTGGCTCTGTCTCAGGTTCCTCAGATAAGCTGCATTCTCTCATCTAAAATTCCACAACAGGCTTCGTTGCAATGTCATATTACAGAGAGAGGTGGGGCAAATGCACTAAAGGGAGATGTGACACAGACAAGAAAAGTATGGTTCTCAAAATGGTGGGAGAAGACATGCAGTGGGTGGGAAAACACTCAATTTGCAATCAGGTAATTTGGATTTAAATCCAGGCTCCATTACTTTATTAGCTCCTGTCTCTAGCTTCAATTTTGTCCTTAAAATGTGAATGATTAAACCTAGCTATCAGGTTTATTGGACTTTACTGAGAGAAAATAGGTATAAATATTTTGTAAATCGTTAAGCAACACACAAATATGATGTTTCCATTTGTTATGGGTTTGTCTGTGCTATTAAAAATAAGAAATTAAGGTCATGAAGTCGTAAAATGTCAAGACTAGAATATTCCTTGTTGATTGTCTTATTTTAATCTAATTACCTCTTTTTATAAAAGGGACAAAGTTCTGTATTTTTTAACAATCATTTATTGAACTTCTCTATGAGCCAGAATCAGTGCTGAAAGTAGGGAAACAAAGTTGATTAACAGGAATCCCTAGAGGAGTTAAGATCCAGGACAAGGAAGCATTTGCCCAAGGTTTTACAGCTAGAGGCTTAAGAGCTGGGAATAAGATCAATAGAATCCTCATCTCCTAAGCTCCTGCTCAGGACATTTGCTTTCATTGCCTCTGTATTAAGGCTTTTCCACCTGCCGAAAATCACAGGAATATATTTAAGATATTGTAACACGTTAAAAATACCAACCACTGTTCCTCCAGACAAACACTACTTTGTGTCTCAGATTAACCCAGCCTAGTTCAGGCCGCTATGAACAAGGCAAAGGCCTGGTTGTTCATTAGAGTAGCCAACATGTCTTCTCTCCCTGTTTAGCACTTATTTTTTGCTGGGATGCTGTTCCAGATCCCCCAAATGCCAAAAGCCCTGGACCAGCCTCACTAGTCTCCTGCCTTCTCCTCACACATACAGGCTCCCTTGCACCAAACTTTTAGTCACATTGAATTTTTGGAATACTTTTGTATTCCTCTTCACTTTTGCATATACTTCTCAATTTCTGAAATTCCTTTTCCCTTCTTCTGTATGTGGCAAATTATTCATCTCTGAAGAATTGAATTCATGTTGCTTTCCCAGACTTACCCAGGCAGGCTCCGCACCTCCACATTCCAGAGCACATTGTTAATATCACTGTTATAGCCTTCTGCATGATGTATCATAATTATGCCTTGCCATGTCTGCCTGGTCCATTCATTTATTGATTCAACATGTATTGATTTCCCATTCTGTGACAATCACTCAATTGGCACCATGGGTTCAGGAATCAGAAAGTAGACACCTTGTCTTTGAGGAGCTAACAGATACTATTTTGGGAGAAAAGATACTATTTTGTGGACATGCTAATGACATGGCTGCCTACTCCGTTAAACTCGAAAACTAAAGCAAGCTGCAGGCTTGGGTTAAATAAATGTTAAGGTTAGTATAGATATTCCCATGGATATATTGAACCCTCGGAAATGGACAGTTATCATACTTACAGGGCAGAAATTCCAAAATATTTACCTCTGACCCAGACCTCTGTCTTGAACTCCAGATCTGTGGTTTCAGCTCCTCCCAAGCATCTTCATTTGAAAGTCCCATAAAAATACCAAACTTCTCATGACCACATTAGCAAGTTAATAGATTTCATCTATACAGATACTTACATTATCTAATTGTTTTAATTTCAGAAATAAATAGAAACATTATTTAATTTCCTTATGAAGTGAAACTGGAAAAGGAATATAGTACTGAGAAATACAGGTAAAATTAAACATAAAATTAAAAGTCACAATGGATTTTTATTAAATATGAAGTAAAACAAAACTTTCTTGGCTCTTGGATCATAAAGAATAGCTTTACAGTGAGTAAATTCTACATCGGGTCAGCACATTTTTCTGTAAAGAGTCACATTTGGTTTCTGTCACACTTTTTTTTTGTTTTTCTTCTTTCCTGGTTTTATGGTCTCTGTCACATACACTTCTTTGTTACAACCCTTTAAAATTGTAAAAATCATTCTAGGGTCAAAAACAGGCTGCTCCTGCCCAATTTGGCCTGTCTGCCATAGTCTGCCAACTGCATTCTATGTAATTATGAGTAACAAGACCTGTATGAAGAAACCAACAAAAAATTACTATGAACAAAGTTCCCAAAAGGTATGACTTTGGGTGTATTTACAAGTTTAAACTCCCTGATCTACCACCAGCAATATATTTTATCAACCCCCTGATGGATTTACCCAAAGCGGAGCTGAGGAAATTAAATGAGTCTAAAAAATTAGTCATTTTTATCGTCCAACTCATGGACTTATCTGGTGAGTTTAAAGCAACTTTAAAGTTAATCCAGCCTACCTGCTGGGGGACCTAAAAATTACCTTGGAGTCGCCAATAATTAGTTAGTAAACTCACTCCAAAACCTACTTCTACTTGTGGCCTTTCTCTGTATCCATCTGACCTTGCATCAAGCACCTTTCCTATCCAGCTCTCACCTTTGGCTTTCTACAAATCACCTGTGTTCCTCCTAATTCCAGATTTTCCTACACTCAGCTGCAAGTGTTTTGAATGTGCTAATTGTAGCAAACTTTAAATTCCAAGAAGTAGCCATGGTGTTTCTGTCAGCCTTAAGGGAGAACCCCTGAGGACCCTAGCCATGTGACCTTCAGAGTGGCTGGTCCCCATGAAGTGTTTCTCAGAACAGCCAGAAGTGATCCAAAGAGAAAATGTAGCTCAGAGGTGGGGAGGGAAAACAAGGGTCCACAGATACAAGAAGAGAATCTAACCATTAATTGGGAGAGCTTTAGGAAGAAATTTTAAGTCCACAGTGAGGCGATGAAGCTAGAAATTAAGAACTGAGAATTCAAAGAATAAACTGGGAAAAGGACATCAAGCTGGAAAACTGAAGAAGTACCAGACTTAGGCTATTAGCAACTCCACTGTGTCAGGACTTACTTCTTACTAGGGTGTGGATTGGGGCACATTTTAATGCAAAACAGCCACAGGGTTTATCCAAGAAGTCATTAGAAAGGAAATCCAGAAATACAAGGCAGAAAAATGACTCTCCAGGGAAGAGCTATGCTCTCTCTTTCAGCCACTATTTCGGACCCCTACTTTTAACTCACTTACTTTTAATAATAATAGTAATAATAAATTTAAAGGTGATTTTGATTCTTTACCACTTTTCCTCAAAATCCCAAATGCAATTATTGGTAAGATCGAATATTTAAAAGATAAAACAATTCTAGTCCAACACTCTAATAGACACAGGAATCCTCACCCTACCAACCTCTGACAATATGGTACTCACCCCATATGTTTTATGACCATGGATAGGGACCTCATGACTCTCCAAGGTAAGGGAGGATATAAGCAAACTGAAACAAAAAAGGGATTCTAACAAAAGAAAATTGCTTTTTTTCCTAAAAAAGTTGATAGAATCCCTCCTTCATGAGTTTCAGACTGTATCTGGCCAGCTCTATGAGTGTTGGCAAACTGCTTCACTTTAGTTTCCTTTCATATCACATAAGGGAGTTCAGTCAGAGCAGTGCTTCCTGGGAATTATTTTAACTCAAAAATGCAATCGCTTTTTAAATTTTGTGACATCAGAATAAGCTAATTCCTCTCTCACATGAAAGCTATATTAGTCATCTTGAGCAGGCTTAGACACTACAGGTTCTTTAATAAGTAAACATCCAGAGTGCTGTTCCCTGGATGTAAGCCTAGTGACATGTTTGTGTTCTCACTTTTGCTTTTGATGACTGCTTTTCAACTAAATTCCTTAGCTTGGTAGATCTACAATTTGGTATGCCTCAGAATCACTTAGTGGACTTGTTAAAATGAAGTCTACCATGTCTCTCCCCAATCCCTTCTACCAAGTTTCTGATTTAATTGCTCTGAGTAAAGCACAAGGTTTGGCATTTGCCATATGATGTTGACATTTCTAGTCAAGGGACCACACTTTGAGGACTACTGCCTTAGTTTTCTTTACAGAAATTCTTGGTAAGTCAGATGTTAATTATGTATTTCCCAAAATAATTTTTAATCTAAATGAAAGATTTAAATTTTAGCCCTATCATCATCATTATTATTGTTTTATGTTTTAACCTATTATTCTACTTGTTCATATCTTTATGAAGAACACTGGACCTGGAATCAAAAGAACTGAATTCAAGTTCTGGTTTTGATTTTACTAGCTCTGTAATCACAGGCAAATTTCATACTCACCAAGCCTCTTTTTCTTTACCTGAAAACTGGGGCTGAGAATTTCTAATGATCCCATAGAGTCATTAGTGAGTTCTGAAATCAGATGGAATTGGTTCTGAATTCCAGTTCTGCCATGTATTAGCTCTGTAACACTGATACACTTCTTAACCTCTCAGCATTATCAGTATGGCACTTGGAAATGACTGTTTTCTCATCTATAAAATAGGGTAATAATTCCAGCCTGGTAAGTTGATTCCAACAATTAAAAGAGGTATTCTATTTACATATCTGACAAATAGTACAGTCTTAATGAACTGCCATTATTAAAACTTTTCTATAGAGTATGGTATTTTGACAACAGGATGCAGTCAAAGTCTTGTGGTATTCCACTAAAGCTACATTTCCAGTTAATGATGCACAATTAACCCATTCTTTTTTTTTTTTTTTTTTGAGACAGAGTCTCACTCTGTTGCCCAGGTTGGAATGCAGTGGTGTGATCTCAGCTCACTACAACCTTAACCTCCTGGGCTCATGCAATCCTCCAACCTCAGCCTCTCAAGTAGCTAGCACTACAGGCATGTGCCACAAATGCCTGGCTAATTTTGTTTATTTTTTTGCACAGATGAGGTCTCACTATGTTGCCCAGGCTGGTCTTAAACTCCTGGACTCAAGTGATCCACCCACCTTGGCCTCCCAAGTGCTGGGATGATAGATGTGAGCCACCAATCCTGGCAAACCAATGCATTCTTTACTCACATTTTCACAATTCTATTATCCAGAACATATTCTTTCATCTTTTCTGCAAGCATGTCATAAAAAAGTGTTGTCAAATGTCTGCAAGAAATCAGAATTATGTATATGTATAGAATTCTTGATTTATGAGACAAAACCCCTGAAATCAAACTTGACAATCAAAAACCTAACAAAAACTCGTGGAGACTTTTCTCTTAGTGAATCAATCCTTCTTATATCATGTACCTGCTAACCTGCTACCTCTTTTTCCAAGTACTCAAAAATCTTTTACTAAAGTTTTTTTCATAGAATTATGCTAAGATTGCCATAAAGCCTCAGTGATCTGCAGTTTTTATAATTTAACCTCTTGTAAATTTAAAATTCAGAATTTCATGTACTCATCTTGAATGTTCTGGCACCTCCTTTTTCTGAAGATTTCCCCCAGAGAGCCCCATTTGAAATTTCTTTATGAGTTCTATGATTTCATTCCTCCTAGCCTGGAGAGTAACTCATTTGAGCAGCTGGGTGATTTCCTGTCTTCATGTTCAGCATGGCGGCACTTCATCCTAAATCATACTGACTCCACCCTCTTCAATTTAAAGCTCATGTTTCCTGACAGAGAATAAAAAGGCAAAATATGTTAAAGCAGTTTTACTTCTACTCTGTCATTAAGTTAGGCTGGTACCACCACTCCCAGACAGTGAACTAATTCTTTTCTTATTCTTCTTACTAAGCATATTAGACTATACTAGAAACTTTTTCTAAGAGGCTTTTCTCTAATAAGGCTGCATTTTTGTGTGTTCACCTTTGGACATGTTCCCATCTCCATCTAACATCTCACTTGTTTTCTTCATGAATGATAAGATGCTCCTTTTTTATATTAATCAAGGCCATGGATTTTACCATCAGAACCACTTTTTTAATCCCCTCTCCCTATCCCCATCCTTCTTAGAGCCTTATCTATCAGGGTCCCAAGCATGAGGCCACATCTCTCTTCTCTGTAAAGAGGTATTGAAATATGTTTTTCAAATATTGAGGGCACAGGTTTGGTTATGCTTGCTGTGATTTTAGACTCCAAGATGAGATGGTCATTTTGTCCTACAGTACTTTTGACTAAATGAACCTTCCTTATTAGCAAGAATTACAAACAGAGTAGCAGTTTCCCTTGTTGCTTCCTTCAGTTTGTGAGGAATGAAATAGTTAACAGAACAAGTCAAGAATGTATCAGGTGATCTGCATCTGGACATAGATAAACCAAGTATGCAATCAGGTGCATTGTAGGTTTTTGGAAAATATCTGTTGAATTAATGAGTGAAGGAAAGAAGAAAGGAAGAAGAGTGTGCACGTTGTGTTTTCTTCCTTAGTTGTATCGCCTGTGTACAATTGAAACACCATGAGGAGTGAGTCTGGAGAAATCCAACAATACATTTTAACTTACCAGAAATAAATTTCTTATACAATGAGTTAGATGAAAATGTATTTTCATCATTAGGCACTTTAAAAACAACCCAAGTGGGTCAGATGTTGAATTCTGCCTCAGAGTTGCTATCTAAACCTTTACTGGAAAGTCATTTGATAAACAAGGTGCAAATCGACTCCCTTTTTCCACCCCCTCAATGCCCACTCCTACCAACAAGTTTCACTTCCCTGACTTCATGAAAAACTGTCAATCTTTTTAAGATCCAGGTGAAAAATCCCACTTCTCCTATATCTAGTCTTTAACCCAATTACAGATCATCAATTTGGCACATGCAAGTAACTACAGGAGGTTATGGGTAAGTAGATTGGGAGTAATAGATGGCAAGATTTTTTTGCTAGAGTGCTGAATTCAAGGGTTCTCTAGTGGAATAGTTCCTGAAAAAGTTAAGGGCAGTGAAGAGATATGAATAGCTAAATGCAAAGGACACTAGAATTCAATAAGTAAAGAAACACACAGTCTAGCATTCCAGCTTGTTCACATAGCACCAAGGTGCCAGGATCATGTCAGAACTGGCATGGAAGAGAGTGAACCAGGCTTCAAAGTCATCAGTGAAGGCCAGGAGGTTTGTAGATGTCACCAACTAGAAGGTATTAAATGACTGCTCCGTGGGAAGACATGAAGCCTCAAAGAATTGGGTTGATTTTGCCCAAGGGTAAAGGTGTAATAACCTGAAAGCAATCCTGGAGAATGAGAAGAACACAAACCTTTTCTTCCAACTACACATTAAGTTGAGCCTATGCTAGAGAGGAAGCCTGGTCCTCTGGAGAGAGCCAGCTTATGCAAATGGACAGATGACCAAAGGGCGGTGACAAATGTATTAGGGCTGTGAGGCAGGGAGGAATTACCTGTCCCCAAAGTTTCCAGCAGAATTAGTTGAGCAAACTGATGCCTGGGGGGAGTCAGGCCTTTCTGAAAATAATCAGTTGTGGCCTAGATTAATTGGGACTTCAAGAGGATCCTAGTACAGATGGACACAGTTGAGTTACTTAGTATATGAGAACTCACCATATTGTAGAAACAGCAGCAGTCTCTGTTAGAAGAGAAGCCTGTTTCAAAACAGTCTAGAGGAGAACATAGAATCTAGAGAGACCATGTAACCTGAGATTATGCCACCAGTAAATGGCAGCACAAAGGCTGAGACCCCTGTGTTTTCAGTCTAAATCCAGTGCTATTTCTCCTATAGCATATAATCTCTTTCTTATAGTGCCCTTCTTCTACTCACTCCTGATTTTTCCTCACATAGAGAAACCACTGGCTTGTCCATCCCTCTCCCTTACCCTCCTCCCACTTCTGCTGTCCACTCAAAGGGTGAAATTAGGCCCCTGAATATTGCTATTTCAGATATCTCATCACTTCCTATTTTAGGGAAGTGGGGTGAAAATAATTATCAAAATGCATATCCACTTACAAGTTGGTCCATTTATCTTAGAGATTGTATATACCATGGTAATTTCAGAAAAACCTGAAGTTGAAAATATATATATGGTGGTTAAAAATGTAACTTACACTGAGTTTTTTCCAAGATTTGTCCCATTGTGTTTGTTGTTGTTGCTATTTTGTTTGTTCTTAGTAAACTCTGGAAGAAAAAAGAAAGTTCCACAAATATGCATAGGAGGAAAGAAGAAGCCCTTAAGGAGGGCTCACTCAGCCATCAGAAAGGTAAGGTCTTCCAAGGCTGCCTCTCTAACCCACTTTTGCCCTCTGCTGGGGGTGCCCAGGCACATGCCTCTCCCTGTGTGGGCAAAAGGAGGGAATGTGTCTGAGGATGAGGAAAGGAGTCCCTTTTGATGGCCGCCTTTCAATATGAAGACCACATGCAAAGAGAAATTTGATCAAAATGAAGAATGACAATGAGGAATAGGATAGCATATGTCCTGTCCCACCTAAGAGGAAACTATGGGAGGAAAATATGTGTTTCCTAGCCTTCCCTCGCCAAAAAAAGAGATCCAAAATCCATAATTATTAAATGGGATTGATTTGATTGGAAATTATGAATTGCAACTAGTTTTCTTTATTGTTTATGCTTTTAAAATACTAGCACCTTTTAAAAGGCATTTAGAAACTTTTTACCTTTAAATAAAAAGAAAAAAATAGGGGCTAGAAAACAAATTATATTAGGAGATGGCATTTATATACAAAAATAAAATAACTACATACAGAAGGCATGATTTACCTCTTCTCAGAAGCTAAAAGCCATGGCTACTTGACTCTCACGCAAAAATTCTATATTAAAATAGTAAGGAAATAGCGGTATATGGATTTTACTACTATGGATGTTCAAAAGCAATTTTCACTTTGTTATAACTTCATTTTTAATACATATATTTTCCCAAAATTACCCAGGAGAGCTGTCCTTACTCTGTGCTAGACACATTCAAAGTTGAAATGCAAAGTTCACCAATTTTGAGTCCAGGTTTTGGGGAAAGGAGGAGAGTGGAGATTTTGAAATTGCTTTTGTAGCAGAAAAGCGTGCATTTTTAAAATTTCACTTGACCATGTTCTTTCTTCACCAGCCTGCCCACAGTCTCCCACTAAAATTGAGTTCAGACCAATTAGATCAGCTGCAACATGATTCTAAGCAAAGGAAAGATGATCTTTTAACAGAAGTGAAGGAATTGACACTCATTCTATACTGTGAGCTTGAAGAATTCAGCCAATCTTTTGGTATTCCTGATTATCTCTAAAGTTTAATTTTTCATTAAATGGAGAGAAAATAACTTCTTTCTTCCTTCCTTCCTTTGTTTCTTCCTTTAAAACTATTCTCTTACTTCTTCTTTCCCTTGCTTCCCACTTTCTGGCTCTCCCCTGCATCTCGGCAAGAGAAGAGTTTTCTTCCAGAAAGCACATTTTCACACACAATAGAAAAGTAGACCAAGAGAGAATACCCAATCACCCAGCAGGCCAGAATCTACACACATACATACACACGCCTACACATACAAAAGACACTGAAATACTCATCAAGATCAGAACAGGAAAATAAAAAGTCCTAGTGTTTTCTGACATTTACATCTTAAATGAATGATCTAAACAACCACATCTCCGCTAAAAGGCATTCTCTTCACTTTGCTGAGGAATCATCCAATACTCAAGTGAATAGCCTAGCCTAGAGCTGTGCCAGGGGATTTAGCAAGTTTGCCAAAGAATTGCCCCGCACACCAGCTGCTAAAGATAGCAGCCCCTCAGTGCCACCACAAATTGACATACTCTAGTCCCCGAAGTCATTAGACTGACTGGCTAAGTGATGAGTGTTACCTAATACACTATAATTTTGATTTATATTTAAAAATTAACAATGCAAATTAAAAAAATGCAAAAGGTCGAATTTAAAAATTATTTATGAATACTGGCTATAAGAGTGTGGATATTCCCTGTATCTTTTCATAACTTCCACTTCAAAAGTACTTCATACAGCTATAAAGGAGGAAATGGGTTTTGCCATGTTTGTGGTCTCTAGAAACTAGAATAATGAGAGTTGGGGTATTTAGGGTGTGGGAGGAGGAAAGCAAATCTCAGATTATATCAGTAACATTTGTTTTAGACTCTGGGTCTTTTATATGGTATTTCCTGCTTACCTTTTGAGATTTAGGTGACTGTTAGGAGCATTAAACATTAAAATGAGCTTTTAAAATGCATGTGAGATAGACACAAGCAACCCTTTATGTTTTATGTAGGATATGTATAGCACATTCAGATTATCTATTATAATATCCACACATGCAATTTGGTTATAAAAATATTCAATACAGGCAGTTTTGGAATTATCACTTATGTGCAGCCTTATTCTCCTTTCCTTGGGGGTGAGAGGTAAGAGAGATAAAAGAACAAGCTTCCCCAGACCTCAAAGGAAGACACCCCCTCTGTATTCTTGAAGGAGGACGGTCTCTCCAACCTAAACCCAAGCTTTACTGGAACCCAGCTCTGCAGAAGCTGCTTCTATTTTCCCTGGTATGTAACAGGTTCTAGGGAAGAGCTAAGATAGGACAAAGTCAAGGAATTTTCAGGCATATACAATCCATCATAGATAGTGGCAGGAAGAAAGGTGAAGAAATGAAGAAAGGACTTTCTCTCTGTGTGTGTTCATCAGCAAATAAAGACTGAAAAAATGTATGGTGATCTGAGATCGGGAATGGAACAAAAGGATATATAGCATGTGACACTGACCCATAGGACTAACTCACTGAATGTCTTTAAAATACACATTTGCAATTATATTTAGAAGAACCCTGTGAGGTAAGTGGAATTTTCCACATTTTACAGATAAGAAAACTGAGGTAAAGGCAGGTCTTACACAGGCAAAGTGAAATTTGGAATTTGAGCCTGTCTGTTTCCAAAGTCCCCAACCATTCCCCTCTACCCTGCTTTAAATTCCCCTTAAAACAGAAGGGTGGATGGAAGAGTAGAGTTAAGCTTTCTGCATTGATCTGGTCATAGTCTTTGAGGGTGACACTTAGAATCTGCAGTTTAGAAAGAAACTCGTGAGCATGTTTAAGGAGAACAGTGACCTGCCCAAATTCAAAGCCGAGAAGAGAACCCAGATGTGACTCTTGGAAGGACAAAGGGACCACCAACAGAACTGTGGATCTAGTGAGGAGGAATAAAATGCAGACCAGGCAGAGCAGACCCAAGGCCCACTATGCTTGTCTGAAAGAGACTGTAAGAGCCTGAGGACTATTGTTAGGTTGAGCAAATCAATAAGCCAAAGTGACATTTCAAAGATTATACCAAAGATTTAGCCAAATGAATGATATGGAAACATTTTCTGTTGTTTGAGGAATATGATTATACACAGCATGGTTTTCAAAAAAAAAAAAAAGATCCAATTTGTCTAATCTGTGTTTAAATTAAGTGGAAATATATTTGTATCTCTGCATCTCAAAAAATGACAGTCACACCTATGGTTCATTATTATAGCCTGCCACGATCTTCCTTTATTTTGGATTCAGTAATTTATAATATGTAATGTTACCCAAGATAAACAAAAAAGTTGTAAATGTATCAGCCAAGGCATGGCTTAAATCAGGGATTAAAAACACAAATGCTTTCGTGGGCTAGGGAGGTAACCTAACTGGGTGACGTGGGATGGGTGTATGCTAAGGAGTAGTGGGGACTGCTGCAAACAGGAGAGAGGAGAAGAGGGAAGAACTACTAGGATTATGCCAACAGCTTCTGGTGGAAAGAACAGCCTAGGATTGCTAGGCCTTCCAATTCGGAAGGAAAAGCTGGGCATTTACATTTTTATGTGAAGTACTCTGATTTTAAACACCGTGCAAGCCAAGTGAAATATGTCTAACCTAAAGAAAAAGAAGGCAATGACCTTGTCTTAAAAACAGACTGTGTCTGAGAAACAAGGTATGTAAGGGTATTTTGGAGCAAAGGGTGACATGCTGAGGTTAGAGCTATGGGAAGACAACCTAGGAAGTGACAATGGATTTGTCACAGGTGTCAGTGAGGCATGTCGAGTTTGAATTTTAAAGATTGCAGAAGATGTGCATTTGTTCCTGCTGGAATTGTATAGATAGGTCTATTTTTTTAATTGACTAGTTGGGGTGGCATGCTTTGATAACTTCAGATTTTGAAGTGAGATCAAATGAGAGAAACTACTCTGTGCCAGGAAATGAAAAGATCCATTTTGGTCTATGGGTCTTTTGAGAAATAGCTATGCAAACACTGTGTCTATCTGTCATAAAAGGGTTGTGTAATTAACATATGCAAAACACCACCACCGTCCTGCTGGAAGCTAACTTCCCTCCCTGGAAATCCAGCCTCTATTTATTTACAACAAAATAAAGTGGACCCTTCTGGAAAGAAACACAGCTCCATGGCAGCCTGAACACTGTCGCAGCAATGCTTTAAATCTTTTATATCTCCCATACCTCCGGGGGCTGGTGCTGGATGGTATTGAGCCAGGGCCCATAAATAATTTATGCTAAGTAGCAATTTAGTTGTTTGGCTTGAGGTAAAGAAATCCAAGAAATTCATAAATAAAGTTCCCATTTTTGCTTGTGTTCCAAAGTTAATTTATGTTACTCTGCAATTAACTAACATAAAGGTGAAAAAATATGACAGGCCTAAGGTAGAAACTCATGCTCATAAATCTGCTCTCTCTTAACTAGTGGTAGTTTAGTGATAGTCACCTAGTTCCCTCTTTCTTGTGCTATTGAACAAAAAGTTTTTCTTGATCTGATTTCCTGCTGCCTTATCAATCCATAAAAGTATTACAATTGTTTTGAATGGACCCCTGGGTGTGAGGAGGAAGAAAGGATGATGGGATCTGGGACAGCTACAAATGGAGCTTCTGCTATATCTAAAATATTTTATTACCTTATAAAATATCTGAATCAAATATGACAAATGCAAACAGCTGTTTGCTCAAAGGAGAGAATTACAGAACCTGAGGACTGGCAGCAGGATGGCCAGCATTGCTGCCATAAGCAGGGGTAGGTGTGTTGGGGGGCAGGAGGAGCATTCCAGAAAATGTGAAGAGCAAGGAGCAATTGTGCAGACACGAGCAGCATGGCCCTCATTCAGGCACAGAATCCAGGAAGGCCCTAGATTCCCACAGTAAAACATCAGCTGGCATCCTGAGCATATGGCTCTGCTTTCAGCCAACAACGCAGAATACTTCCTTTTCAGGTTCTCACTAGCAACCTCAGCCTGCAATTTTCTGCTATTTATTTGCTCTCCAAGGTCTGAGACAGCTGATATTTGAGATGGTTTCTCTGTGACATGTGAACCCTGAAGATCTTCCAAGCTTTATTCATGTAACAAGACTGAAGAAAGCTACATATCTATGTCCCATTTATTATTTATTCTTTAAATGTATTTATTAAATACCTACTATGTGCCAGGAGAAAAGGTGCCAGAGATAATGCAGACCTTAAGATGAACAAACTGTTCCTGTACTTAATCAGTTTATGGACTAAGGGAAGAGAGGAGGGAGACAGAGAGGAGTAAACCCACAGTTTTGATAATGTGTTAAGTGTTATGATAAAGTATGCACAAGGGATCAAGGAAACAGCAAGAGGCAGAACAGACCTACCTGGGAGAAGTTGGAACAAGGGAAGATTTTAGAGAAAGACAAGTTTGAGTGAACCTTGAAGGGTGAAGACTTAGGCAGGTGGATACGTTGAGGGAAGTAAAGGTGTTCCAAAGGCTGGAGGAAGGGGTGAGCATGACTCACTTAGGCACTACAAGAGTTTAATGTGATAGTACATAGGGTATGGCCCGTGAAGGTGCAGATGAGCCTGGAGAGGGAGGCATGAAAACGAACAGGGAGCAAATGCTACTTAGATTTCATGTCAAAGACAATGGGAGCTGAGGAAGGGTTTTAAGCAAAAGATTGGCATAATCAGATTTGTGGGAATGAAAGATCTTTCTACCAGTAAAATGATGGATGGATTGAATATAAACAAATTACCCTCAAAGCTCACAGCCAGAGTGTTTTACCTCCTAGTGACAAAGTGTTCTTCCTTCCTTTGAACAATGGAAGTTGTGCAAATGGTGAAGATGTTTTTCTCTTTGCACTGGTGACTAACGGTCTGAAAACAAGTTATTTAGTCAATCGCCACAGCTTTTTTTCAGTCAGATTATCATCAGATTTGGCCTTCTTTCTTCCTTTTTACTTCTTGGATCTAATTTTTTAACAGGTTAATTTTTTTCTTCTTCTTCTTATAATAGTGCTTTAATTTTAAGGCTGCTCAAATTGAATAGAAGATAAGTAAATCATTTTTAAATTAATACTTATAGGCACCCTCTATTATATGTAATGGTTTGATCTACTCTTCTAAAATATTACTAAAAGATACAGCAGGAATAAACGTGGAACACATGAGTAGGAAAGATGATGGGAGAGGAGACAATAAAGGACTAGATGTCAATGAAGTTGGGAAGATGAAAAGCACATCAAGAGGAAAGTGACCTGGACAAGTGGAGGAAGCAAAACGAAACTGGAGTTGAAGAGGGAAATGTCTGTGAGAAGCAAGGAGGTTTTTCTTCATTTAACCCAGAATATCTGAGGATTTTTGAGGTACCAGATACTGAGGAAGAATAAAGATAAGGGCACAGATTCAGATTTGCATAATAGACATAGAGACCTCAGGGTCCCTGAACAGCTAGACTCCTCATCTACTCTGTGGGAGACTGGAATTTTATTATTTACAGAAACTGTCCCTGAGATGGTCTGGACTCAGAAATATCAGGCACAATGAAAAGCAGGAGCAAAACGTCATGTAAGAAAATGAAAAGAGTATACAAAAATATGAATCCTAAAAGGTAAAGTCTCCATCCCACTTCTTTTCCACTATTCTATCAGCAGCCAGATATAAAACCATCTCCCCAAGGATTTAAACAATTTTCTTTCAAGAAGCAAAGAGCCTGAGAAAAAGGCCTAGAGAACTCATGTTTGGGGCTTCCACATGTAACAAAAACCTATTTGCCCAACATTAAAGAAACATTATCACTCAACATTAAAGAAAATAAGCTCACTCACACATGTGCAGTCACTTATCAGCTCTTTAGCCTTGGTTTTAAATATCTGAGAAAGCCAAGGATCACTAAACATTTGAGGAATTCTCCAAAATGAAATAAAGGGGCCAGAACACATCAACAGAAAAGAAGCATTCAGAAGAGCCAGAGTCAGTATAGGAAGAAGAAAGGCTACCTTAAAACCTATAATTAATATATGTAAACAAAAAAGAATAAATATGCATTTATGAAATACAAATAGGATGTTATTTTTATGGGAAAAATCAGAGAATATGAAAATGATTTTGGAAATTAAATATGTGGATGAAGAAATTCGAAATACAATTGAATGGACAGAAGATAAAGTTGAGAACATCCTGCAGAGAATAGACAAACACACAAGCAAAAGAAGAGCTGTGCAATGGAAAAAGTGAGATAAGGAAAGACTTTTGACAATCAATTCATTAACTTCAACATTGGAAACTAGGAGTTCCAGAAAGAGAAGTTTCAGAAAGAGATGAAATAGAAGAAAAGTACGAGGAAATTTTTCCAACACAGGGACAGGACATCGAGATTAAAGGGGCCTGATTTCTGCTCAGTTCTCTGAATAGAAAGGATGCAACCAGGGCACATAATCACATATTTTCAAAACAATGGGAACAAAGAGAAGATCCTAAAATCTTCTGGCGAGAGATAGGACCTGTTCTTGAGATGGTACACTTACAAAGACTCAGTCATCTGACTCACATCTGACTTTCAATATCACCATTAATGGCCCCAAGGGATTGACACATTGCCTTCAGAATTCAGAATGAAATTATTTTCATTCTAGAATTGTATGCCCAGTCAAACTGCTAAGGAAGTATGAGAGCAGAATAAAGGAGATTTCAAGTATGCAGCTCTAAAACTTTTACTCTTTTTCAGGCAGGGACTGAAGTAAGTATTCCACAAAAATTAAGAATATCTTTATGAAACGGAGATATTGGAGCCAAGAAAGAGAGAAGTAATACAGGAGACCTGTGAAGGGGTTTTTCGAAGAACAGTCTAGCTTGGAGCAAGAAACAGGATGACTGACAAATACAGAGATGTAATTGAAAGACAATATGTTTGAGGGTTTTGGAACAATTATTGCGAGGCATTTGATTCATCTATTAAAGCATTGGGGAAATGGGGATAAGTATGTATAAAACTAAACAAACTATTAAAATGAAGTAATTATTAACTCCAGGAATAACAAAGGGTCATTTGAGGGAAAAAAATATCAGAGCACTCTAATGGCCCAAATGTAAACATGCATGTAGTCATTGTAATGTAAACACTGTTTCTATTTAACAAAAGATTTCAATACAACTAAATTAGAGGGAGGTAGAAGAGAAAATTGTGATAGTGGTGAGGGACAAAAGATATAAAGAAGGTAAAGTCTCCACTGCAAAACTGGGAAATAAATAAATGATGTCTAAAATCAAGAAAGTGGTATAAACACATGTAGATAAATATCAGAAGAAGCATCTGCAAGGGTTACAAGTTGTTGGCTTTCTGGCATGAAGCCATGAGAAAAACATCAGGGCAAGACACAATGTTTTTGTTTTTTTTTTTTCTTTAAACACAGAAAGCTATAAAGATGGAATAAACCAATTATCTATATTTACTACACGTAATATTAATTACTGTTAATATGTAGCCTTATTTTCTTCCAGATTTTTTTCAGGGGGGATATGGGTAGTAAACTTTAAAGTTTTCCTTAGTTGTCATTTTTTAAAGAATGGTAATGCTCATTAAATGTACTTAATGCAGAAATATACAAAGAAGTAAATAAAAAGCCACTTCCAAATTCTACCGTCCAAAAATTACTGCCATTACACTAGGTAAAAACAATTTCAGATGTTATCATATAGCTATAAACAGATAAGGACGAAAATAACAATTAGGTAGATAGATAGAGATTGATCACATTGCTTTTCACTAAAATGAGATTATATTAGCTACTATTTTTAATAACAAAGTATTAAATTTAATTTTACTTTAATAGTAAAAAGAAGTTTGAAGCAAAATGAAAGAAATTGTTGATTTTCAAATAAGTGATTCCTCACCATGAGACGTAGAACTCTCTAAGCTTGAAAGGGTGTGAGGGGGGATATGAAAAAACAGTAAGAGTTGGAGTCATTACTGTTTTATTACATATTTCAATATTAGACAATATCAGTAGCCTCCTGCTTAGAAATCTGAGAATATCTTCCTTGCCCACACTTTTTCATTATCTTTACACTACTAATTTTACATTGTTCTGATTAATAATATTCACATTTTGTTCTATAGCAATAATTCCCTCAGTTGTTTAGTCTTAATTCTATATTTAAATGGATTCAGACACCATCAGTCCTTTTTATGTCAGCTTCTCAATTCCCAAGTTCTTTATTTTGATTTATCTCTTAATTAGCTAGAATTCATTGTCAAGCATTTTTTCAAGGACTTAAGAGTGCCATATTCCATGAATTCTTTTATGTTTGAGAATGTCTGCTTGTTGCCTTTTTCTCTACTGACATCTTAGCTTTCTTTCTTTCCTATAAAACTTTGTAGAAATAGCACCAATTGTATCTGGCATTGAACTCTGCTGTGGAGAAATCTGAGAACTGGCTGCTTTCTAAGCCATAGTAGGTGATCAGCTTCACATACTTATATGTATAAAGAATTTGTTTTTTAATCCTGGAACTTCAGTACCTCAATTATGATATGTGTCTATGTTGAATATTCCACATAAAAATTCCTGGGGTATTGTGCATGCTTTCAATCTCAATGTTAATTTTTTTCTTTACCAAAGAGAAATTTGTGTGTATTATATGCATTCATTCAAATATTTATTAAGTATCTGTGCACCAGGAACTAGACTGTTGGATATATTATTGCACAAAACAGACTAGAAAAACACTTGTAGCTTGTTCACAAAGGTGTAGAGGAAGGAGAAGAAGTAAACGAGAAACATAAGAAAGAGGTAATTACACATGACATAATGTGATAGAAGGTGCCAAGTGCTATGAGGGAAAAAGGAAAAGCAGAAGAGTCTAAGGAAGACTGGGGTTGGGAAGTGGGAGAGTAGAAAGCGAGGCAATCATGAAAGACATCCTTAAAAGGTGATATTTGAGCAATTAATTAAAGGAGTGAAGAAATGAGCCATGAACAGCTCTAGGGGAAGAGTGTTAGAGCCAGAGGGAGCAGCCAATGCAATCGCCTTAAGGTTAGAGCACACCAGTTTGTTTGAGAAATAATAAAAGTAAGGAGTTTGAGTGCTGGACTAGAGAGGGAAGCAAATAGTTGTGTATGTTAAGATCATGGAGGTAATGGTGGCCAGATATTCAAGGTGTTGTAGGTCATTGAAAGGTTTTACCTCTGAGTTTCATGGTTTTAGCCAAAGGCATGATCTGACTAAAATTTTTAAAGAATTATTTTGGCCATTGTGTTGAGTGTTGAGTGTATGTGGACAACAGTAAGAGCAGGGAGACCAATTAGGAGGCTATTGCAATAACATAGGTAAGAGATTTTTGTTATGTATTTGTGTTGTTTCTAGGTATTAGGGGAAATGTTCTGTGAAAAAGCCATCCAAAGCCAAATGTATGTATATTTTTTTAACTAAGTATATATGTCACTTTTCTAAAAATAAAAATAAAATAATAAAAGACCAAGAATAGCCAACAGAATATTGAAGGAGAAGAAGAAAGTTGGAAGACTGACACTACCCAGCTTCAAGACTTACTATAAAGCTACAGTGAGCAAGATAATGTGATATTGGTGAAAGAATAGACAAATAAATAAAAGAAACAAAATCAAGAGCCCAGAAATAGACCCATATACATATAGTCAACTGATTTTCTAACAAAGGGAAAAAGGCAATACAATGGAGCAAAGATAGTCTTTTTAGCAAATGTCACTATAACAACTAGATACCCACATGCAAAAAAGATAAATCTAGACACATGTCTTATTCCCTTCACAAAAATTAATTTAAAATGAATCACAGATCTAAATGCAAAATGGAAAACAATAAAAATTCTAGAAGATAACAAAGGAGAAAATCTAGATAACCTTGGGTATGGCAATGGCTTTTTAGATGCAACACCAAAGGCAAGACCCATGAAAGAAAAAATTGATAAGCTGGACTTTAGTAAAATTAAAATATTCTGCTCTGCAAAATACATTGTCAAGAGAATAAAAAGACAAACCATAAACTGTGAGAAAATACTTGCAAAAGACATGTTTGATAAGGGACTCATCCAAAATATACAAAAAAATCCTAAAACTCAACAATAAGAAAACAAATGATTAAAAAATGAGCCAAAGACCTTAACAGACACCTCATCAAAGATGTCAAATAAGCATATGAAAAGATGGCTCTGATGTATACGTCATTAGGGAAATGCAAATTAAAACAACAATAAGATACTACTACACACTTATTGGAACGGCCAAAATCCAGAACACTGACAACAGCAAATGCTAGCAAGAATATGAAACAACAGGGACTTTGACTCCTTGCTGGTGGCAGTGCAAAATGGTACAGCCATTTTAGAAGACAATTTAGTGGCTTCTTACAATACTAAACATACTCTTACCATATGATCCAGCAATTGTACTCTTTAGTATTTGTTTACCCAAAGGAGTTAAAAACTGATGTTCATACAAAAGTCTGCACAGAGATGTTTATATCAGCTTTATTCATAATTGCCAAAGCTTGAAAACAACCAAGATGTCTTTCAGAAGGTAGACAGATAAATTGTGGTACATCCAAACAATGGATTATTAGCACTAAAAAGAAGTGAACTATCAATCCATGGAAGAAAAAATGGAGGAAATTTAAATGCATCTTACTAAGTGAAAGAAGTCAATCTGAAAAGGCTACATAGTATAATGATTCCAACTGTAGACATTCTGGAAAAAGCAAAACTACTCAGACAGGAAAAAGATCATTGGTTGCTGGGGTTTAGCAGGGGAAGAAAGGATGAACACACAAAACACAGAAGATTTTTAGGGAAGTGAAAAGACCCTATATGACACTATCATGATGGAAACATGTCATTAATATTTGTCCAAACCCATAGAATGTACAACACCAAGGGCAAACCCTTATGTATCACCCTATGAATTTGGGGTGATAATGATGTGTCAATGTAGGTTCATCAATTATAACAAATGCACAACTCTGATGGAAGATGTTGATAATAAGGGACACTATTCATGGGGGGGAATAGGAGGTATATGGAAAATATCTGTGCCTTTCACTCATTTTTACTGTAACCCTAAAACTGCTTTTAAAAATTTGTCATTAAAAATAACATTAATCATTATATCTTTTTAAAAGATAGATGAAAAACAGCCTCAATGTGAAGCTTTTTTTCCATTGGAAACCATCCAGTGAGATAAATCAGATAACTTGAGTCAGACTTACACCAAAATCTCAAGGAGAACATAAAGATAAATTTAATGCTTCAAAGTACATTGTCATTCACTAGAGACAGAGAATATTATTGAAAAAGAATTTTTCTTTTTATGTTATTTCATTACTAATGGGACTCCTCCTATATGATTTTTATCATCTCCAATCAAGTGTCAGCTATTATTTCTCTAGACTAGAGTCCTTTTCAGTTCCTTCAGACTTCTTGGGCAAATGCCATAGAGGTTAAAAGAATTTTCTTACATTCAGTTTGACCATTATGCACAGAACTTTCCGTATATTTATTATTATTCAATCAAATATCTTTAATCTAGTTGGCTTGAAAGACAATTTGGCATGGGAATTTCCTTACTGTCTTTCCTGCTAAGACACCAGCCACCCTCTTTTGTCCTGTGCTCATCAAGAGATCCCATGACATATCTAACTTCCTAGGCCAGCCAAAAGAAACCCATGATTCATAGAAAGATAAGAAGGAGCCTGCTGGATTCACACCTGCCAGCAGCTCAGTGGAGTCAACCTAGGATTCATCCTCCCTAGGGGAGCAGGGAGCCACCAGGGCAGACAGAAATCTTGATTGTCCAGTTGATCCATTCCCCCTCAACCAAAGCACACCTGTTTTGCCTGAAAAGTTAAATCTAACTTACCATCACAGTCAAACGTGTAGTTTCACTTCCACTGCCCCCCTTCCACCTGCACCCCCAAAACAACTCCATGCTGCTTATTGATACTTAAACTCCCTTTAACTGGGGCAAGAGTGAGAGAAATAATTATTCTTCCACCAGAGGTAAAAAATGACAAATTAAGCACCCAGTCAAGGTAAAATGTTTACTATCAAAGATTTTACCTTAATCTAAAAAGTGTAAGTTAACTGGGGCAATTAAAGTACATAGGTGTTGAAGTAATCATCAGAAAAGAGAAAGCACAGAAAAAGCCGAAGCCCATAAGACAAACTGCACCATTTTCCTTGAAGGAAAAACAATTGACTTGCACTTGCTTGGAGCAATAAGAGTTGCAGGCAAAAGTATTTTCGTAAGGTAGGCCTAGAGATGCAGATGGCTAAGTTTTCTTCCAAATCTAGGTTTGAAATATCAGCCAAGTCAGTCATTTTCATAATATGAAAGAGGAGGAGGAGAAAAGGAAAAAGAGGAAGAGGAGGAAAAGAGTGACAGCAGCAGCTAGTATTGGGAATCAACTTCCACAAATTTTAAGAAGAAAGCGGATTTGGCTCATGTGGGGACATGATATGTACCTCCTATATTCCTATATTACTCATCTTTCAGTAGTGTAAGTATTGCAACAACCCTATTTTCACCAGCTATTCATTATTTCCTGTAATGACATTCCTTGAAGCATCATGCAGGGGACACTCCCACAGCACATATACCACTGTTTATGGAAAGCTCTGAATTTTCTTCAGTGTGGCTTGCTGGCTGTACCCAAGAAAATACTTGGGTAACAGCATTATCTAAATGGAATTTAAGAATGATGGGGATAGAAAATAAAAGTAACCAGTATCATAGATGGCATTCAATAATTTAACTAGTGGCATAGGGCTCATGGAATGTGTAAGATTAGAAGTAAGCTGGCGGGGCGTGGTGACTCACGCCTGTAATCCTAGCACTTTGGGAGGCCGAGGTGGGCAGATTGCCTGAGCTCAGGAACTCGAGACCAGCCTGGGCAACAACAGTGAAACCCCATCTCTACTGAAATACAAAAAATTAGCCGGGCTTGCTGGCATGCGCCTGTAGTCCCAGGTACTCGGGAGGCTGAGGCAAGAGAATCACTTGAACCGGGGAGGCGGAGGAGATGGCGCCACTGCACTCTAGCCTGGGCAACAGAGCGAGATTCTGCCTCGAAAAAAAAAAAAGAAGAAGAAGTAAGCTAATCTCACCTCTAATCTTAGCTCCCTAGGTGATTCTAGCATGGGATATTTCCAACTTCATTCAGTTTCTTGGAAGTAATTATCTTAATCCCTAAAATGGAGATAAAAATGGGAAATACCGCCTCTGCAAATTCACACATCATGAACCGTTGTCTAAAAAAAATGTTTAAATGCAATTTTAAAATATAAATTTCTAATTAATTGACAATATTAAGTGCCATTCAGTGTCCGATTTATTTTACATGATCAAAAAATAAGATAATGCTGGAAATTCTTCTGTCCATTAATTTAACAGCCTAATGACACAGATCACTTAACTAAATGTAGTCCTGTTCCTAGGCACCAAGCAGGTACCTCAGTAGCTTGAACTAGCCAGTGCATCACCTTAAATGCAAATTCCAAACGTACAATATTTTTCACATTTGACCCACTTTTTACAAGATTCCTCATATGCAGAGGGATGGCACTCCCTTATCACTGTCATCATTATATAAAAGCTTTTGTTAAGCACAGGGTTGTATATGGTGCTCTCCCAGGTCCTGTACAAAGTGAGGTAATATCCAATTTCCTGACCTCTAGAGGCCTTCAGACCAAGACCAAAAATGCTAAAGCAGGCAGATAAGATTCAGGTAGCTGAATAAGCTTTAAAGCATTGCATGAATTACGGGGATGGATAAATGCATAACGTTTTGCATAAGCAAAGGATGAGTGAATGGAAGAGAGGCCAGTAAAAGCTCCTGTCAGTGTTCTGTGCATTTTGACCAAGTGGAGATGTCAGATAAGCAGAATGAGCAAACAAATAAAAAATAACCAGATTTCACTTTTCAACACTATTGTTGGGTTCCCTGTTACATAGCACAGTAGTAATTGGCAATTGACGGGAAGATACAGAGGTATACTCCATTCTCTAGAGAGGAAATATGAAAAGATTTTTGTATTTAATGAATCAATAAATTCTTGTAAATTTACAAAATGTTGTAGAACAGTTGATTTAAACTAACCCACAGGAAAGACCCCGTTAAAATAAGGCAGAGAAGTATGAGCTACTGAATTATACCAAGAAGCCAGCTTGAAAGGGACTTATTTAATGAAGCTTGTTTTAAATTGTCCATCTCTTGTAAGGATGTGTGCACTTCTCAGAGTCCTTCTGTGACCAGGTTTTGTTTTTGTGAACTTAGTGAATAGGATTTAAACTTCTTAGCTTTTTTTTCCTTTTCAAAAACTACAAACGCAATCAGTTTGAGTAGAATCCATTCAATTGGCCTCTGCTTTCTGAATGCAAGAAAGAAGCTACTTTTCCTCCCCTTCATTTCATTCCAGCTGAGCACAGTGCCGCAAACATCTCATGCTGAAATCAGTGCCTTTTTAAAACTTCAAGGGGCTTGAAAGCTCCGAACCTGTTCAGAGGTGAAGTGGCTCCAAGAGATCAGCTCAGACGCACCCTATTTGCACTTCCCTCTACTGTAAAGGATCTCAGTCCTTTATCCACAGGCCTCATTATGAAAGTTCTCTCACTATGAACGCCAGACCAGGGCGGGTCTCCTCTTTGGTATTGCAGCATCACTCTCCATTTCACTCACTGTAAAGAATCCTGGCCACTGGCTGAAGTCTACAGTGAGATCAAGAGAAACCTGGTTCTCTACAGTTGAGGGAGAGAGTTAATTGCTCTCCTCTCCCAGGAGCCCCTCCCAATCCAGCATGCCTTCCTAGGAGCACCGGCTTCTTTTGCTTCTCTCCAAGGGTTATAAGGTTGCAGAGAAAGGAAGTGCTCTACCTTAATAGAACTGCCCAGCTGAGTTCAGAGAGTGTGAAAGTAAAAACCTCCCAGCTACATTTTTAAACTTTTATAAAGAAGAAATTATAGACTCCCTAATATCCTTCTGCTGGAAGCCCATCTTTAGTTTTAGCTTCGTTCCTTCTCAACAGGTAGTTAGTTTCGTAAACCAGCAGATTTTCAGAAGAGAAAAATTAAGTAAAACATTCTAAGCATTGTGTTGAAAGGCATCTTATATTAACTGCAATACAAGTAAAGTTTAGGCTAACTAGTTAACTTTATAATGAGATGCATCTGGTGGCTCAGGACTTATTCTTCTACAAGTAAGCCCTGGTACACGATGTTTTGCTCTTTCCTCATTCAATCTCCAGGGTAGTGATGGATCATTCAAGCTCCGTGAATGAGGATGTGGTCTGAGAATTCCTAAAGAAAAGGGTCTACTTTTTAAAGGTTTACTTAGTGAAATTTCTTCTTCAGGTGCCAACATAACTACCAACTATTACCTTACCACTTAAGGAGCCATATTAATTCTTGCAGGTAATTAAAGTAATCTCTAGTACTAATGGCTGCCTAATAAAATAATTATATTTTCCCCATACTCAACTCTGACAATAGGCACTGGCCCCAAGTAAGGTTTATGTAGCAGAATCTTCCACTTGGATTTCTGGTTTGGCCAAGCATTGATGATGATACTATCTCCACAGGTCTTTGCAGGCACATACTAGCATTGTTTTAAATCGTTTTACAAAGTTGTACTCCCAAATCCAGGTGAATTTTTAGTAATAGCTCCAGATAATATCAACTGAATCTAACTCTACAAGAACCAAAGCTAGTTACTGAAACACTGATAGATGCATCTTAAGAAAATGTTTATGTGGTACCTCTTAAAAGCAGAAACATTTAAGGACCTATCAAAGGTTTCAAATATAAGGTTTTTCTCTAAACTCTTTGTTCAGTATAGGTATTTGCTCATCTTAAAATTAGTAATAAATGTTTTGTTTCAAATACCCAGGACAATGATCTGACTTTGTATTTAGGGGAGAAAGGAGACATTGTGAATGTTCAAGGACTAAGCCTAAAATACTCTGAGTACGCACCAACACCACGCCTCCAGAAGAATTTGTATTTGAATGAATATTATCTCTCCACAATTAGGTAGTTTATCTCGTACTTCATCTCATCTCATATTTAATATTTCATCTATTAAACACTTTCACTGAAAGTGGATTTCTACATTTAAGCATAGGTAAATGCAGTTGACATGCAAGTTGATAGTTTATGTAGTTGGGGAAAGTACTTAGGGACTCAGGTTTTTGTCACAGTGAGGTGGGTATTTCAGAGGAGCAGGAATTGTCATGTGTGATACGTCTCTCAGGCTTGTTTCTCTCTTTCTATTGAAGTTATCTGGACATAATTTACAAAACTGGATATAAGAGGAAACTTGTCTTACAGTTTTAAAGTATATATAGTATAGCAAGGAGATATTTAATATTGACAGGCCAGAGCCAAACAACAACAATATCTCCACTCCTTTTGGTGGCTAAAGATGAACTACAAGATCTAATTCAACTTCTTACAATATCCAAATGTCTGCCAAATTGAATCGCACTCTGCATTCTCATAACCAACATGTCTCTCAGATGACCCTCCATGACAAACAGCCTGGGGTTTAGTAAAAAATGTAAAATATGCTTTTTTTTATTACCCCTAACACTCAAACCTCTTCATCTCCAGTTAAGAAGCCTTGAGTTAGTGTAAAGAAAAATATGAAACATTTCTCTCCACCTCTCTCTGTTTTGGCATGCACCCAACCCTGACTTGTCACCTGGTGTTACACAGGCTGGGTCCAAAGCACCCAGGAGTCAGGAGGAAAGGAAGCTGTCTCCATCCTGCACCTGGTACTTCTGCTAAAGGGCCTCCTTTCATGTGAATTAGGTAATTGGGACAAGCACTACAGATCACTTTCCAATAAACTCCTTCAACGGACTTTTCTAAAGTGTTTCTAGCAGGGAGAAATTGGTATGCGAATAGCAGACTTCAAAAAATTCATATTTGTTACTCACACATTGCTTCAACTAATATTTATTGAGGCCCTATTTATTTTCAGGCACTGGACTAGGCACCGAACAGGCAATTTTAAACAGACTGAACAAGGTTCCTGCCCTTTTATAATTTATAATCTAGTAAGGAAGACAGACATTAAACAAATAAATATACAAAAAATATACCCTTTAATCTCAAAATATAGCCAATTCTATGAAAGAAAAGACTAAGGTGCCACAAAAGAGATTGGGGGGCAGACCTGATTTAAACTGAAAAGTTAGAGAAGGCCATGATAGAGGGAATATCTAATTGAGTTACCCACAGGATTGTTTGAGATTCTAGAATTAGTGTCTTCCCCAGTAGCCACTTTGTAATTATGCTTCAAGACTATAGTATCTGTAGTATTTAAATAATCCAACCTTGCCTTCCTCTTCAGCTTTCTGTCCTGTTTCACTTTGCCTTCTTCTGTACCCTCTGAGACACTGAATTTCTTCTGGTTGCCCCTCATAACGCCGTGTCACACCTCTGTTCTTAAGATCTGTCATCCCCTTTGACTATGTCTTCCCCCACTTGTTCACTACAATGATTATTCCTCATCTTCCATGGCTCACCTCCGATATAACTCCCTCTGGGAAATCCGATTCTTCCTTCCTCCCCATGCAGGGACTCCATGTGGCTTAGTTCCAGGGGGCACATTCACATTTTGTTTTTGTGTACCAAATATTGTTAAGTATCAACAACTTCATATTATTCAATCAAGAAGCTATGTGAATGGTAACTGCATGTGCCCTCCATTCATACAGATGACAATGTGCATATAATTTCTGAAGTTATGCATTATGGTGGCTCTCCTTACGGCATGGCCTTCCTGTGTTCCCGTAGCTCACGGTACCCTCCTCAAAAATTAATCTTACCTTTTGATTTGAAATGATTCTCTTACACTTTTTCTTTCTTTCTCAAGCTTGCTCTTATATCATTATCAATTAGCAAAGAGCCTTTTGTTATAACTCTATGGGTAACTATCACTCATTGAGCCTCTAGCTGAATGTTATGAGAGAGAAACTTACAGAAGTATTATGACAACCATTACTAAAACAAAGTTTAGTTTTCAGCTATTAAAGATGATTCCTTCATCTCTAATCCTTATATCTACTTTGTTTCAGAACGATTAGGTTATAATAAAAATAAAAGATAAGTAACTAGTGTGACTGAGGTCTCCTTCACTTCCCAGCACTTCCCAGTACTTCCCAGTACCAAGTGAATCAATTCCTTTGGGGCTCTTAGCTATGCGGGTTGGTTTACTGCCACTTGCAACCAAAAGAGATATGACCAATTCTGAAACTAATTCCTGGAAGTTGGCCATCACAAGTGACAGATCCTGAAGTGCAGACACGGATCAGTTGCAGAGAGAATACCCTGTCCTCCGATGGGGAGTTGGCTGACCTCCCTCTACAGTATTACAGCAGCTGGTTGAAACTGGCCTGTTGAATCCTCGGATTCAGGATGAAGCTTTAGGAGTTTTGGTGGGAAAATGTCAAGAGCATCATCATTTATGGGGATTAGAACTGGTGGATAAGATGGAAGAAATTCTGTATAGCCCTAAAACAAAGCAAAACTGAGATGTCCTGCCTCAGAGGTGCTGATTCATCAGTTTAATTAAACTTCTACTCTTACAGATTTTCCTAGAAAGCATAATGTGGTTTTTGGTTTATTTTTGCCTCAGTTTTTAGTCAACAGGCTGTGAACACACTTGAAATCATGAGGAATACAGAGAAATATAGGGAATATAAGGAATGTTTCCTTAGAGAATGAAAAAATAAATAAACAAACAAATAAATAAATAAAAATCTTGGAAGCAGAGAACCTGGAATCAGAAATTTCTGTCTCATCCCAGACTTCTGATAAATATTTCCGCAGACAGAGATCTCATTAGCGTACTCTAACTTTTATTATAGAAAGTTCTTATATGAAAGCAAAATATGCCTCCCATGACATCAATAAATAGGATCAATTTCTGTCATCGGAACAGTATAACCCTTGTTCCATACAACAGCTTACCTATTTATGTACTTTTTACGTTTTTTTTTTCTTTAGGACTAAGTGAAGTACCCTCTGTGTAGGTTTTTTCTGAAATGGCTAGAGCCATCAGAACTTCATTGAGGATATAGATCCTGAGGGAGGACACTAGACAAGCAGAGAGGAATGGGTCTCAAACACTGCTCCACATGGAACAAGCATTCAAATATTCATTAGTTGATATGGATGATATCCTGTGGCACAGTTAATATATAGCTCTATTCAACAATAGCAGAGTTAATGCAGTTACCTGGCAGCAGAGCATTTCCAAAAACGCCAGCCTTCCTTCTCATTGACTATTGATGACTGCAGCCCAGGGGAAAGTAGTACATTCATAAACATCAATCAGGCAGGAAAGGTGCCTTCCAGTCTCTTTTAAAGGAGATAATGTATGTGAAAGCTCTTTGTCAACTGTAAAGCAGTATACAAATGTAAAGAATTTTTACTATTGTTTTAAAAGGGAGTTAGAATGGAATTAATGTTGTTGGTCTTAAAGTTTTCTATGTGGCCTACTCAACAGATACCTAACAAGAAAACTTTGCTTCCCTTTCCAACTTCTCTGCATAGACATTCAATGAAATTATTTTTAAATAGTGAGGCTCACATGCGTTATTTTTCTGTGTAGGTTAAACTTCTGTTTCCAACTTTTTATAAGCAATTTTCTTTAGTATTTTCTTAATACATATTTTATTTGCAAATTATAGAGATTACAAAGACACATGCCTAGAACAATGAGATGCAATTCATCCTGAATTAACATGAACTTCTAATCTTGTTAAAGAAAAGGGCTTACCATTTGTAGAGTAGCTGCTATATGCTGGAAACTGTTAGGAGCTTTATGTATGTTATCTTAGTTAATCTTCACAACCAACACCATCCTGATTTACAGACAAGGAAACATTGAAAAACTATCTTGATATTTCAAAGCAAATAATAGGCAGAACTCAATTCAAACCCAGTTGTCTCATTCCAAATGTTTTGCTGCTTTTATATCTCTAAAGACGTTATATTTGAAATGTATGAAAGAAAGCAAGACTATCACTCTCACAATGATTATTATATATTCCCACAAAATAATAAATTTTATATTTACTTTACTTGTATCTCTTTAGTTGACAAAATGTCATATGCTTTTATCTAACATTTCACTCTAATTATACCATATTTTTACTATAGAAACTTAGAAACTTAGGAGTCTTTCTTACTATCTTGTCATTGGTAATCTTGGTGTTTTTTTTTTCTTTTTTAATTAAAATGAAAAGTTCTAAAATATGTAAAAAATTAAAGATTGTTTACTTACAAAATTGAGCAAACATTTGTAAACCTTTAAAATGTATGCATTATACATTATCTTTAAAACTGTGAAGTTGGACTACAACTCGCAGGGAGAAGAAGTGGACATACTTGATTGTCTCTGCTAAGCACAATTTAAAACTCTGGAAATTATGTATAAAAGAAGCATAAGACTGAAAAGTAGAGAGGAAAAGGCAGGCCTCCTAATGATCTCAGGACCAAGAAACAACATAGTAATAGTTTACCAGGTTTTCATTTTGCCTCATATACCCCATATTAAATGCCAGAGGAGTCACCAACCTGAAAATGCCAACAAGTGTAGACAGAAAAAGCCACATACACACACACACACACACACACACACACACACACAAATGCCTGATTTCTCTATCCAAAGGACTAGGAAAGGGCCAGTCTAGCAAGACAGAAAACTTTTGGACAATAACTGCTCTCTGCAAACACCACAGAGAAAACTGTGGTTTCACCCCTAATCTCACTAGCAAAAGCTGAGTGGGAAATCTAGACTTCCACCCTAAACAGATTGTAATGAGACTTCTCCCATGGCATTAATGAAGACCATGTGGTAAGCCTGGAAATTCCAGCCAGAAATTCTAACCAGTGTAATAAGGCAAAAAAATGAAATAAAAGGCAAACACATTTTTTAAAGTGCAAAATACAAGTCTTCCTATTTTTATTTTATTTATTTTTTATTTTTATATATTTTTGAGACAGAGCCTTGCTCTGTCACCCAGGCTAGAGTGTAGTGGTGCAATCTCAGCTCACTGCAACCTCCACCTTTCAGGTTCAAGTGATTCTCGTGCCTCAGCCTCCTGAATAGCTGGAATTACAGGCATGTGCACCATACCTGGCTATTTCTTTTTTTTGTATTTTTAGTAAAGACAGGGTTTAGCCATGTTGCCCAGGATAGTCTCGAATTCCTGGCCTCAAGTGATCCGCCAGCCTAAGTCACCCCAAACTGCTGGGATTACAAGCATAAGTCACCATGCCTGGCCTCTCCCTTAGATACATTATTATATCTAAGTAGGAAATTCCAAGGAATCTACCAAAAAAACTTCTAGAATTTATAAGTTAGTTCAGCAAGGCCACAACATACAAGACAAACACACACAAATTAACTGTATTTCTATATATTATAATGTGAAGATATTACATTAAAAACACAATATTATTTTTAATCGCTCAAAAAATGGAGTATTTAGATGTAAATCTAAAACATACATAGGACGTGTGTATACTGAAAATGACAAAATACTGTTGAAAGACAGCAAAGATTTAAATAAATGGAGAAACATACCATGTTCATGGATTAGAAGCCTTAACAGAATAAAGATGTCAATACAACCTAAATTGTATACAGATCTAATGCAATTCTTACCAAAATTCTTAGCCTCAGGCCAGGTGTGGTGACATACACCTGTAATCCCACCACTTTGGGAGGCTGAGGCAGGCAGATAATCTGACGTGAGGAGTTCAAGACCAGCCTGACCGACATGGCAAAACCCCATCTCTACTAAAAAAATACAAAAATTAGCCGGGCATGGTGGCGGGTGTCTGTAATCCCAGCTGCTCTGGAGGGTGATGCAGGAGAATCCCTTGAACCTGTGAGGTGGCAGTGGCAGTGAGCCAAGATCGTGCCACTGCACTCCAGCCTGGGCAACAGAGTGAGACTCCATCTCAATAAATAAATAAATAAATAAATAAATAACCAGCCTCAGGCATTTCTTTAGGGCTAGGCGTGGTGGCTTATGCCTGTAATCCCAGCACTTTGGGAGGCCAAGGTGGGCAGATCACGAGTTCAGGAGATCAAGACCATCCTGGCTAACACGGTGAAACCCCGTCTCTACAAAAAATACAAAAAAAATTAGCTGGGCGTGGTGGTGGGCGCCTGTAGTCCCAGCTAATCGGTAGGCTGAGGCAGGAGAATGGCATGAACCCGGGAGGCGGAGCTTGCAGTGAGCCGAGATTGTGCCACTGCACTCCAGCCTGGGCGACAGAGCAAGACTCCATCTCAAAAAGAAAAAAACAAAAAACAAAAAAAAATTCTTATAAGATATTTTGTAGCTCTAGATAAAATCATTCTAAAAAGTATCATGAAAGGGCAAAGAAACTAACTAGAATAGTCAAAATAATTTGAAAAAGAATAAAGTAGGAAGAATCAGTTTACGCAATCTCAAGACACATTACATTACTACAGTTATCAAGACTGTGTGGTATTGGCAAAGGGATACACACATAGATTAAAAGATAACCTGAAAACAGACCACTGCAAATATGCCCAGTTGATTTTTGACAAACATTCAATCACAATTCAATGGAGGAAAGACAGACTTTTTGACAAATGGTGGTGAAAGAATTGAACATACATAAGCACACACATACACACAAGACAAAACCCTCAAACTAAGTCTCACATCTTTACATAAAAATCAACTCCAAAAAGATCACACACTTAAATGTCAAACACAAATCTATAAAGCTTCTATTAGAAACATAGGAGAAAAATCTTTAGGATCTAGGGCAAGGCAAAGAGTTATTAAGCTTCATACCCAAAGCACAATTTATAAAAGGAGAAACTGATAAATCAGACTTCATCAAAATTAACAACTATTGCTCTGCCTAAGACCTGTTAAAAAGATGAAAAGACAAGCTACAGATAGTAATCCACATATCCATAAAAGAACTAGTAGCTAGAATATATAAAGAACCCTCAAAACTCAAGAGCAATAAAACAAACGATACAATTAGAAAATGGACAAAAAACATGAAGAGACATTTCACTGAAAAAAATGCAGAGATGGCAAATGAGCTCATGAAAAAATGTTCAATCATTAGCCATTATGGAATTACAAATTAAAACTTCAATGGGATATTTCTACACATCTATAAATATGACTAAAATTAAAAATAATGGTGATACCAATATTGACAAGAATGTAGAGAAACTGGGTCTCATAAGTTGCTGGTAGGAATGTACGATGGTAAGCCATTCTATAAAATAATTTGGTAGGAGAAAAATGGGAGTGGCCAAGAATGCTATATGAGGGATCCTTGTGATGATAGACCTGTTCTATATCTTAACTGTATCAATGTAAATATGCTGGTTGTGATATTACACTGTAGTTTAACAAGATGTTACCATTTGGGGAAAGTGTGTAAAGAATACATACATAGGATTTCTTTGTATTATTTCTTACAACTTCATGTGAATCTACAATTATCTCAAAATAAAAAGTTTAATGAGAACACAGTATGAAGTCATGTCATATTTTGGATTTTGGGTTTGTACAGTGATGGAAATATAGCTGAAGTATTTCAACTCTCAGATCCGCTTTAAATGACACATGTACTTCCTAGTCTAGGATATAATGGAGAGATAACTATAAATCAGGAAATGAGACTTTTATCATCAGTAATAAGGATAAAATTTAGTTAAAATGTATAGTTTCCTTCAACCAACATTTATTGAGTAGAATCTATGTGTTTGTGAGTGGGTAAAGTACTGTAACACAGCCCCTGGCTTCTAGGAGTTAAGCATTTGGTGGTGAACAACAGACACACCAATCTATAGAGACTGAATGCATACCACATCCTGTAGAGAGTGTATTTTCCCAACATGGCAGCCAACATTTATTGAGGCTTTGGTTTGTACCAGGTATTATGCCATGATCTTTATATTCATTCTCTCATTTAATCCTCAAAATAACCCTGAAAGTTAATTTTTTACCCACATTTTAGAAATGGGGAAACAGATGCCATAGAGTTTATGTGGCTTATCCAGGAAAGGAGTGAAGCAATAATTCAAACCCAGCTCTGAATTCAGAGCAGCCTGTGCACTTAACCATGAGGTCACACTGTCTCTAACAGAAGTCTATACCACATGCCACATATGTCATAGGAGTGCAAGTCTGCCACCATGGTGGCATGGTTTGGGTATTAAGAGGACAGAAAAGGGTCAGAGAAAGGTGTAAAGGAGAGGTGAAATTTGAGCTGTCCCCTGAAGGGTGAGTAGGAATTTTGTTGGATGAATGGGTAAGGGCCTCCAGGCCTGAAGAATCAGTGTATACTACCAATCCATTTCATGAGGGAAATAATAATGTTCTGAGCAGAGAGAACAGAAAACTCTCAAAGTCTGGGGGCCTGTTTTAAGTTGAATTGTGTCCCCACCAAAATTCAAATACTTAAGTCTTAACCCCTAGCACCTCAGAATATGACCTTATTTAGAAATTGATCATTGCAGATGTATTTAGCTCAGATAAGGTCATTAGGATGGGCTGTAATACAGTATGACTAGGTCCTTATAAGAAGGGGTAATTTGAACAGAGAAACAGACATGTGCACAGGGAGAATGCCACATAAACACAAAGGCAGAGATCAAGGTAATGTATGTCCAAGCCAAAGAACACCAGAGATTGCTAGCAAGCCACCAGAAGCTGAGAGAGAAATGTGGAATGAATTCTCCCTTGCAGCCCTCAGAAGAACCAGCTCTGCTGAAACCTTGACCTCAGACTTTTAGCCTCCAAAACTGTGAGACAATAAATTTCTGTTGTTTAAGCCACGGAATAAATTTATGTTTAAATTTATTTCTGAGACAATAAATTTCTGTTGTTTATGGCACTTTGTTATGGCAGCGCTAGCAAACTAATACTGAGGGCAAGCAACTGGATCTTTCTACATTTTGGAAAGTGAGGGTCCAGAGCAATGGTGTGCTGAAATTATAGCACCAGCTGGAGAGAAGCAATTGTTTAGTTTTGTTATTTCGAAAGTAAATTGACACAAAAACAAGAGCCATTATTTAAAATAAAGTTATATGAACTGATAATTAATTTATTTAAAACAAGATAATCAATATTCAGAACAAATCACCACCTAGTAACTCTGCATTTTACTATGATCTATGCTTTTAAGGCTATGCTATATACATCCACTGTATGTATATAATGGAAATACAGTATAATTCTACTGCATGTCCCTTATTAACTCCACAATCAGGGATATCACATTGGTAGGTTAAAATAAACCCTGGTGGGATAATTTACACCACAAAAATCAGAAAATGCTAGAAATTGGAGCTCAGATCACCCTGGAGAGCTGTTTGTTAAATATTTACCAACCCACCCCTGGTCTAAAGAGATTGGTGGGTCATCTAGTATAACATGCGCTTCCTTCCATTGACTCTAGAAATATCTTTCTAGTGTCTCCCAACACTTGTTCTTCTGGTACTTCTGCCTTCTGGATGACATGTGGACCAGTGGATGACTCTGATCTCAGTTTGCAGCTTTCCCAGCAAAGCCAGTTTTGTCCTGAGTTAGCCCTATTGCAGACCGTTTGGCAACTCACAGTGTGAATGAATAAATAAATGAATCCTTCAGAAATTGCTTTCAAATTATGATCACAATGCTGCTTAACTTTCACAACATACAGCTGGTGGAAAGAACACTGTACTAGTCCATTTTCTTTGTTTTATTTTATTTTATTTTTTATTATTGTACTTTAAGTTCTAGGGTACATGTGCACAACATGCAGGTTTGTTACATGTGTATACACGTGCCATGTTGGTGTGCTGCACCCATTAACTCATCATTTACATTAGGTATATCTCCTAATGTTATCCCTCCGCCCCCCCACCCCACAACAGGCCCTGGTGTGTGATGTTCCCCTTCATGTGTCCAGGTGTTCTCATTATTCAATTCCCACCTATGAGTGAGAACATGCAGTGTTTGGTTTTCTGTCCTTGCGATAGTTTGCTGAGAATGATGGTTTCCAGCTTCATCCATGCCCCTACAAAGGACATGAACTCATCCTTTTTTATGGCTGCATAGTATTCCATGGTGTATATGTGCCATATTTTCTTAATCCAGTCTATCATTGATGGACATTTGGGTTGGTTTCAAGTCTTGGCTATTGTGAATAGTGCCACAATAAACATACGTGTGCATGTGTCTTTCTAGCAGCATGATTTATAATCCTTTGGGTATATACCCAGTAATGGGATGGCTGGATCAAATGGTATTTCTATTTCAAGATCCTTGAGGAATCACCACACTGTCTTCTACAATGGTTGAACTAGTTTACAGTCCAACCAACAGTGTAAAAGTGTTCCTATTTCTTCACATCCTCTCCAGCACCTGTTGTTTCTTGACTTTTTAATGATCCCCATTCTAACTGGTGTGAGATGGTATCTCATTGTGGTTTTGATTTGCATTTCTCTGATGGCCAGTGATGATGAGCATTTTTTCATGTGTCTGTTGGCCGCATAAATGCCTTCTTTTGAGAAGTGTCTGTTCATATCCTTCACCCACTTTTTGATGGGGTTGTTTGATTTTTTCTTGTAAATTTGTTTAAGTTATTTGTAGATTCTGGATGCACTTTGTCAGATGGGTAGATTGCAAAAATTTTCTCCCATTCTATATGTTGCCTGTTCACTCTGATGGTAGTTTCCTTTGACATGCAGAAGCTCTTTAGTTTAATTAGATCCCATTTATCAATTTTGACTTTTGTTGCCATTGCTTTTGGTGTTTTAGACATGAAGTCCTTGCCAATGCCTGTGTCCTGAATGGTATTGCCTAGGTTTTCTTCTAGGGTTTTTATGGTTTTAGGTCTAACATTTAAGTCTTTAATCCATCTTGAATTAATTTTTGTATAAGGTGTAAGGAAGGGATCCAGTTTCAGCTTTCTACATATGGCTAGTCAGTTTTCCCAGCACCATTTATTAAATAGGGAATCATTTCCCCATTTATTGTTTTTGTCAGATATGTCAAAGATCAGATGGTTGTAGATGTGTGGTATTATTTCTGAGGGCTCTGTTCTGTTCCATTGGTCTATATGTCTGTTTTGGTACCAGTACCATGCTGTTTTCATTACTGTAGTCTTGTAGTATAGTTTGAAGTCAGGTAGCATGATGCCTCCAGCTTTGTTCTTTTGGCTTAGGATTGTCTTGGCCATGCGGGCTCTTTTTTGGTGTACTAGTCCATTTTCATGCTGCAGATAAAGACATACCCAAGACTGGGCAATTTACAAAAGAAAGAGGTTTAACAGACTTATAGTTCCACGTGGCTGGGGAAGCCTCACAATCATAGCAGAAGGCAAGGAGAAGCAAGTTACATCTTAAATGGAGGGCAGCAGGCAAAGAGAGAGCTTATGCAGGGAAACTCACTCTTATAGAACCGTCAAAGCTCATGAGACTTATTCACTATCATGAGAACAGCATGGGAAAGACCTGCCCCCATTATTCAATAACCTCCCACCAGATCTCTCCCACAAAACATGGGAATTCAGGATGAGATTTGGGTGGGGACACAGCCAAACCATATAATTCTGCCCCTGACCCCTGCCAAATCTCATATCCTCACATTTCAAAATCCATCATGCTTTCCCAACAGTCCCCCAGAGTCTTAACTCATTTCAGCATTTATTCAAAAGTTCACAGTCCAAAGTCTCATCTGAGACAAGGCAAGTCCCTTCTGCTTATGAGCCTGTAAAATCAAGAGCAAGTTAGTTACTTCCTAGATACACTGGGGGTACAGGCATTGAGTAAATACAGCCATTCCAAATGGGAGAAATTGGCCAAAACAAAGGGGCTACAAGCCCCATGCAAATCCAAAATTCAGCAGAGCAGTCAAATCTTAAAGCTCCAAAATGATCTCCTTTGACTCCCTATCTCACATCCAGGACATGCTGATGCAAGAGATGGGCTCCCAGGGGGTTGGGGAGCTTTATCTCTGTGGCTTTGCAGGGTACAGCCTCCCTCCCAGCTGCTTTCATGGGCTTGCATTGAGTGTCTGTGGCTTTTCCAGGCACATGGTGCAAGCTGTCAGTAGTTCTACCATTCTGGGGTCTAGAGGATGGTGGCCCCCTTCTCATAGCTCTACTAGGTGGTGCCCCAGTAGGGAGTCTGTTTGAGGGCTCCAGCCCTACATTTCCCTTCTGCACTGCCCTAGCAGAGGTTCTCCATGAGAGCCCCAACCCTGCAGCAAACTTCTGCTGGGCACCCAGGCATTTCCATACATCTCCTGAAATCTAGGCAGAGGTTCCCAAACCCCAGTTCTTGACTTCTGTGCACTCACAAGTTCAACACCATGTGGAAGCTGCCAAGGCTTGGGGCTTCCACCCTCTGAAGCAACAGCCCAAGCTGTACCTTGGCCCCTGTTAGTCACAGCTGGAGGGACTGGGACTCTGGGCACCAAGCCCCTAGGCTGCACAAAGCAGGGAGCCCTGGACCCAGCCGACAAAAACATTTTGTCCTTCTAAACCTCTGGGCCTGTGATGGGAGGGACTGCCACAAAGGTCTCTGACATGCCCTGGAGACATTTTCCCCATTGTCTTGGTGATTAACATTTGGCTCCTCATTACTTATGCAAATTTCTGCAGCCAGCTTGAATTTCTTCTCAGAAAATGGGATTTTCTTTTCTATTGCATTGTCAGGCTGCAAATTTTACAAACTTTTATGCTCTTTTTTATTGGGGGAACCCACCCCCGAAAATTCAACATGAGTCCTTTTCTAGTTTCCCTAAGTGTCAGCCTGTCTGAGAAATAAAGGGAAAGAGTACAAAAGAGAGAAATTTTAAACCTGGGTGTCCAGGGGAAACATCACATGCCGGCAGGTTCCGTAGTGCCCCCAGAGCCGTGAAACCAGCAAGTTTTTATTAGCAATTTTCAAAGGGGAGGGAGTGTACAAATAGGGTGTGGGTCACAGAAATCACATGCTTCAAGGGCGACAAAAGATCACAAGGCAGAAGGTCAGGGTGAAACTAGGATCACTAATGAACTTCCATGTCCCGCTGTGCACACATTGTCAGGGTTCAAGAGCAGAGAGCTGGTCTGACTAGAATTCGCCAGGCTGGAATTTCCTAGTCCTAGCAAGCCTGGGGGCACTGCAGGAGACTAGGGCATGTTTCATCCCTATCTACATCTGCATAAGGCAGACACTCCCAGGGCAGCCATTTTAGAGGCCCCACCCTGGGAATGCATTCTTTTCCCAGGGCTGTTAATTATTAATATTCCTTACTGGGGAAAGAATTCAGCGATATTTCTCTTACCCATGTTCAGTAATAAGAGAAATATGGCTCTGTCCTGCCCAGCCCACAGGCAGACAGACTTTAAGGTTATCTCCCTTGTTCTCTGAACATTGCTGTTATCCTATTCTTTTTTCAAGGTACCCAGGTTTCATATTGTTTAAACAATTTGTGCAGTTAACTCAATCATCACAGGGTCCTGAGGTGACATATATCCTCAGCTTATGAAGATGATGGGATTAAGAGACTAAAGTAAAGAAAGGCATAGGAAATCACAAGAGTATTAATTTGGGGAACTAATAAATGTCCATGAAATCTTCACAATTTATGTTCTTCTGCCATGGCTTCAGCCGGTCCCTCCATTTGGGGTCCCTGACTTCCTGCAACACTTTTTCTTTTTTAAAACTGAATGCCTTTAACAACACCTACATAACCTCTTGAATGCTTTGTTGCTTAGAAATTTCTTCCACCAGATACCCTAAATCATCTCTCTGAAGTTCAAAGTCCCACGAATCTCTAGGGCAGGGTCAAAGTGCTGCCAGTCTATTTGCTAAAACATAATAAGAGTCATCTTTGCTCCAGTTCCCAGTGAGTTCCTCATTTCCACCTGAGACCACCTCGGCTTGGATTTCATTGTCCATAGCATTATCAGCATTTTGGTCAAAGCCATTCAACAAGTCTCTAGGGAGCTCCAAACGTTCCCACATTTTCCTGTCTTTTTCTGAGCCCTCCAAACCTTTTCCTATTATCAAGTTCCAAAGTTGCATCCACATTTTCAGCTATCTTTTCAGTAGCACCCCATTCCTGGTACCAATTTATTGTATTAATCAATTTTCATGCTGCAGATAAAGACATACCCAAGACTGGGCAATTTACAACAGAAAGAGGTTTAATGGCCTTACAGTCCACATGGCTAGAGAAGCCTCACAATCATGGCAGAAAGCAAGAAGGAACAAGTCACATCTTATATGTATGGCAGCAGGCAAAGAGAAAGAGCTTGTGCAGGGAAACTCCCCCTTATAGAACCATCAGCTCTCATGAGACTTATTCACTATCATGAGAACAGCATGGGAGAGGCTTGCCGCCATGATTCAATTACCTCCCACCAGGCCCCTTCCACAACACATGGGAAATCAAGGTGAGATTTGAGTGTGGACACAGCCAAACTATATCAAACACTATTTATGACTTATAAGATACCAATTTTGTTCCTGAGATTATGAGAACAACTCTTCTGTATCTCAAATTCCCTTCTGTTTAAAAGAGTCACTTAATCCCCCTCCTCGCTAACCAATTAGGATAGCATAAAGTTTCATTTTTGTGAAGGCACTTTTAAAAAAAGTGCTGCCATACAAACATATGGCAGATTAGTATTATTATAGTAAGCTTCAAATTCTTGAAGACACACCATGTATGTTCCCAAGAAACAAGATATATGATTGTGATAACTTGCATTGGAAATTAGTATAAAAATAGAAGATGCCATAATGTAAAATATTTTAGTGTACTTCTTATGTATAGCTGATTCATTTTTGAACAGTGACTCTAAAATGATCTTATTACATCTTGTATGAATACAATTATTAAATAATAACAGATATAAGCTAACAGAAAAATAATTGGGTGACTGTAGCAACATTGAAATGTAAACTCTTAGATGGAGAGAACAAGCTTCGTGATAATTATATTTGTCATTAAATGATAACATCCAATTGGTATCTAATCTTCAGGCTACAAATAAGCATGTAATACTGAAAATACATTCTAATTACATGGCTGTTTGTCCCCTGTAAACGTAATAAGATGAAGTACAAGCAGTGTTGCAAATTCCAATGAAGAATTGTATTCAGATTCTAATGAAAGATGCCAGGTGAAGCTTATGGCTTAATATTCTCCTATTTCTATGTTCAGTGCCAATGATTTTACCACTTAGTTCCAGATGTCAAAGTTTGTATTTCAACATTACTATCATTATTTGACACTATTGTTACATAATGAGAACTGACCTAATACTCTACTGGAGCCTGAACAAATCTTATTTGGAAATTGAAGCAAAATATATATTTGTCTAATAGAGTTTAAATAAAGAAAAATGACTAATTCCTCCATCTTAAATAATTGGGAGATAACTTTATCATCTCAACTCCTCTACTTAAGCATTTATCTAAAGCCACAATTCCTTTTTATTTTGGCCTCAATGTAAAAGTACATCTTCTAATTGAACTTCTGTGTTTGAAAGTTCAGATATTCAGTACTTGGCACAGACTTAGTAAATGTTTCGAGTGGATGGATGGATGGATGGGTGGATGGACAGTTGATGAATAGTTTATAACCTCAATTTATTTTCTGCAAGTAAATGAAGTCAAATACATTTGCCTAATTTTTTCATTGAGTTAATAAATCATTTTAGTGACTTTCTACACAGATTAGATGTGCTATACTATGAAGTCCTAGAACATTGAATTGTATAAAGCATTATGATTTAATTTATCTTAATAAAGAACTCTTATGATTTTAAAGCTGTACTTGTTTATATAATAATACCTATCAAGTGAACTAGGAGGTGACCAAGAAAAAATAATATTAAAGCTTAAGGCAACAGGTAGGCCAGAGGGCAGAGAGGAAGCTTCCAGGTTTGCTGGTTGATGATTTACGGCCTTAAAAATTTATATTTTTGTGTACTTCCTCTATGCTGTAGAAATGAAAAATTCTGAAATCAATTACAATCACTCTGTACCACATTATATTTTTCTACCTTCAAAATGATTGGCTTTTAAAATAACATAATTGCTAATACCTACTGAGGATACCTTTTTGGTGTCTACATCTACAGATGAAGAAAGGTGAGGGATATATGCAATGGTTTTCCCAAGGTTGGATTGCTGCTGGAGCAGGGACTTGAACCAGGAGCTGATGGAAGGCACATGCTGACCCTCAATGCCTTTTAGGCGATGACGCTGCCAAAGCCCACAGTAGTTCCAAACTCTCTGCCTTTTAATGTACCTCTTCCAGCTACAGTTGCTTTCTCTTCCTCCCCAATGACTTAGGACCCTGCCCAAGTTCTCTCCTTCCCACAAGATTCTTACCCTTCCTGCCTTTATGTCCTAGTGTATGAAAACTCTACACATACCATGTAATTCCACTTAAACAACTCAGTTCCGTTCTCCTCTTCTTGAGGCAAGAACTTTTTTCTGATAATTCCCTTTTACCATCCCCACCCTCTACCCCCACACCTACCACATACAGAAATAGGAAGCAACTATTTGTTAATACAGTGATACCCTTCGAGTTCTTAAAAGAGCTCAGAAAGAATTGGTATACTTTCAGCATTTAAAATACTGTTACTTTGCAGATGTCATGGTTAACAGAAGCAGATTAAATCTAGAATATGTTTTTGTAGAACACACACCCCCAAATCTAAAGAATCACTTAGCACAGAACTTCCAAATACTAAAGAGTGTGAATGAAGATGTGGCTCACTTGATCCTCAATTTTTTTTTTAATTCTTCAATGTCCTGCCTTTCTCAGAAGACGAAGAGACTTAAATGTGTTGTTAGTTATCCTGTTAGATTCTCCTCATCTTGTGTTCCTGAGACACGACTTGGGGTGACTGTTCTGTTTCCAGGGGCACAGTATATTAAGGATAGAATTCTAATCATACCAAGTCCCACAGAGTAACTACTCTTTGAGGGAATATTTACTTCTATATATTTATTTTTATTTGTTCCATTCTCTTTCACACCAGAAAAAGATTTAAGGAATCCGAGGCAGGTTTTTGTGTTTTTTTTTTGTTTTGTTTTGTTTTGTTTTGTTTTGTTTTGTTTTGTTTTTGAGACAGAATCTCGCTCCGTCTCCCAGGCTGGAGTGCAGTGGCGTGATCTGGACTCACTGCAAGCTCCGCCTCCTGGGTTCACGCCATTCTCCCGCCTCAGCCTCCCGAGTAGCTGGGACTACAGGCACCCGCCACTAGGCCCGGCTAATTTTTTGTATTTTTAGTAGAGACGGGGTTTCACCGTGTTAGCCAGGATGGTCTCGATCTCCTGACCTCGTGATCTGCCCGCCTTGGCTTCCCAAAGTCCTGGGATTACAGGCGTGAGCCACTGTGCCCAGCCGGCAGGTTGTTTTAAAGTATCCCTGTGTCCATTTGGTGACAAAAGAAAAACCTAAATTTAAAAAAAGAAAAAAGAAAGAAAGAGAAAGAGAAGGAAGGAAGGAAGGAAGGAAGGAAGGAAGGAAGGAAGGAAGGAAGGCAGGCAGGCAGGCAGGCAGGCAAGCAAGCATTTGTCATGTCAGACACCTCCTTCAAGGTTTGCAAAGCAAATTTGGGTAAAATGAAGTGCCTAGATTTGCTCTTTACAGAAGTATCCAAAACACTTTAAAGAATGGCTCCTCTTTCCCTCTCTTTCTCTCTCTCCCTCATCTTCTCTTTCCCTCTTTCTCTCCCTCTTCCTCTCCCTTTCTTTCTGTCTCTCCTCTCTCTCATCCAAAAAGTAACCACTATATATTTGATATCTTATTTGGTTTACTGGATGTTCTGTATCTGAATCTGCATTTTGCTTACAATAGAAATGTTAACTGCTTTCCTCTAACCACCTCCTGGGGATGAGATTTGCTGTTAGGTTGTACACTTACTGACTCCAGAATTTACTGATCCAAATTTTCGTCTGTGTTATATTTGTCTCTTCCTTCCTCTCACATTTATCATCATTTTCTGCTTGTGTATCTGTCCATTTGTCTTTCTTTCCTTTAATTTCTGTTCCATGGTCCCCAGATAAAAAATGAAATATTAGGTTTGTCAAGCGTATATCATTGTTTAAATGCCTGGAGATGATGGGTTAAACAGACCAATCAATGAAACAAACCTCCAGTGCACTGCAGGGGCTGCAAAGGATGCTCCCTTTGGCTTTTTAAGACCTAACAAGTCAATAACCTATTAATATCACATTCTGCCTGTCACCTCTACACAATTCACATGTGACTTCTTAGGACAAAACTTTACAGCTGATGATGAATTAAACAGAAAAATGTTTGTGGCAAAATTCAAACTAAAAATAAAACTAAATGAATTGAAAAGTGAAATGGAAAGAATAATTACATGATTATAACCATAAGATGCACCACAATTATTACAGCTACACCATGAATATTATAAACACATAAAATGACCCAAATTTTTAGGTAATGAATTATTTATTTTACTATTTTTTAGTATATTACCCAGAGGGTATGCTGTGCCAAAAGAGTTAAATTCCCACCACATGAAAAAATAGGATCCTTGCACATTGGAGAGTTTACATTGGAAAGAGATAATCAGACAGACAAAAGCATGTTTTAGATTAAATTTTTCCATTTATATAATGAAAGTTCAAAACTTTAGTTTAAATATCAAAGAAAGTATGTCTGGAAAGCATTGCTTATTATGTATAGAGCTAAGTTGTTGAATATATGTATCTGATAATCGTTTATATTTATAAAATCATTTATACATGTATATTTATGTAATATACTAGGGATGACAGCCATCTGAGTTACAAAATTGACAATTTACTTTCAGATGATTCACATTTTCAATCTCTCGTATGTTTGTTCCTGTTTCCAAAGTAAAAAAAAAAATTATACTGAAATATTTTAATACTCCAAAAATTTTCCAAATGTTAACTCAGTAATTCCAAAACTGATTTTTATATCATTACTTTACATGAAATAGAAATGTACAGGACAATTAGTTCATTTCCTAGAAATAAAATTCTTCACTGTAATAAAAATTTGTTCTGCAACATTAGATGAATTCCCTAGTCTTTAGTATAACCCTTCCCAAACAGGACTACTCCTAACATCATGGTCAAAGGCACAGTTTTGGAATCTGGCAGATTTCATTATAAATCCCGGCTCTATTATTTAGAGTTAAGTGACCTTATTTTTTTAATCTCCATGTGTTAAATAGAGATATTTACCTCTATCTCAGTGAGTTTGATGAGGATTAAATGAGGTGCTGTCTCATATTGAACATAGAGCTCATTGCCCAGTACCAGACACAGCATAAGCACTTAATAAATGAAAAAGAAAATGTAGTTCATTCAGCTAACCCCAGCTAGGCAAAGACTCTAGGCATAATTTGCTCAAATACTTTTTTTTTTTTTTTTGAGACAGGATCTGACTCTATTGCCCAGGCTTGAGTGTAATGATGCAAACATGGCTCACTGCAGCCTCGACCTCCTGGGTTCAAGCCATCCTACCACCTCAGCCTCTCAAGTAGCTGGGACTACAGGCACGCATCACCATGCCTGGCTAATTTTTGTATTTTTTATAGAAATGGGGTTTTGCCATGTTGCCCAGGCTGATCTCAAACTCCTGAACTTGAGCAATCCGCCAGCGTTGGCCTCTGAAAGTGCTGGGATTGCAGGTGTGAGCCACCGTGCCCAACCTAAAATATTTTTATCTCTCAAATATTCCTTATATAACCAGAGCTCATCCACCCATCTTACTATAGAGCTGTTTTTTGGGCTAGACGTTGTAAAGGTATTAAAGTAACCCAAGATCTACTTTTTTTGTGTGTTGGCAGTATTAGCCATACCAAGCTTATAGTAGCAAAAATGAATGATTATCTCTCATTTCTGATTATAGCAATGAGGCAATCAATAGAAATGCGATTAATCTTTTGGGAGATTATTGTGCCTTAAAAGATAGAAGATTGTGGGGTATGATCACACAGATCACAATGTATAGTTGCACAGCTTCTCTCCTGAGTACCCCCACTAATTTTCATCCATTAAACAAACATTTATTGAGCACCGATTGTATTCAATGCTGTAAAATAAGCTTGAAATTTAACTCTTAAAATTACAAATATTCCCTGTCCCCACAGAGTTCTTGCCTTTCATTCTCTAGCACACCACACATCTATCACTTTCTAACCAGGTAACTTTCTGTTCGAAGTTTTTGCTAATAGTTTAAGTTGAAATTTGATTTTTTTAATGAAAATTTACTATCTGGTCTATATTTTTATTTTTATTTTAACCAGCTACCCATTCCATTCCTACCATTTGCCCCAGCAACACTGAGCTACTTGCAGTTCCATTCTTTCTCACTCTGTCTAAAACATGGTTCTCAATTTTGGCTGCACATTAGCACCAGCCAAATAGATTTTTTAGTTCCTAATGCCCAGGCTGCAACCCAGACAAGTCATGCAGAATCTCAAGAGGAGGAACCAAAGCATCAGTTATGTTTAATATTCCCAGGTAATTCCAGTGTGTAGCTAAGGATGAGACACTCTGACCCTAAGTCGTACTTTGCAACTCAGTTATTTGTCACCTCACTCCTACCCATCCAGCAAAATACAGTTCCACGATTCTTTCTTTCTGTGAAGTCTTTCCTGAACTCAACCAATCTTCCATGCTGGCTTAGGGACATGTATTGGTTTACTATTGGCTGCCCAACAAATTACCACCACTTAACAGCTTAAAACAACACAATTTAATAGATTACAGTTCTGTAGGTCAGAAGCCCAGGCACAGCATGACTGGGTCTCATACTCAGGGTCTCACGATGCTAAAATCAGGATGCCAACTGGCTGCGTCTTTATCTGGAATCCCAGTTAGGATCAGATCTATTTCCAACCTCCTTCAGCTTGGGGGTGGAATTTATTCCCTTGGAGTTGCTGGGCTGTGATCCCCATTGTCTTGTTAGGTGGCTGCCAGGGACTGCTGTCAGCTTCTAGAAGCTGCTCCCAAGTCCTTGCTATGTGGCCTCCTCCACAGATCCTCTCACACTTTAATATCTCTGACTTCAGCAAAGACCAAGTCCTTGAGGTCTGATTACGTCAGTCCCACCTAAATAATTGCCCTTGGGTTAACTTAAAATTCAACTCATTAGTAACCTACTCATGAGAGTACTGTCCTATCTTATTCACTGGCTCTTCCCACACTCAAAAAGAAGGACATATACATGAAGTATCCATTAGAAGGTGGGAATTCTGGAAGCCATCTTAGAATTCTGCCTACCAAGTTTCCATCCAGTGATTCCCAAAGGGCCTCTCTGCTCACCACAGCACTTACCACAATGAGTTTTTCCTATATCCTTTTCTGACACTCACCACACTTTGAATCCTCGGAGGGCAGGGATCATGTCATATTCATATTTGTCTTCCCAACATATAACTCAAGGCCTGGAATAAGGTAGATGTTCACCAAGGGTTTGCCAAGTATTCATGCTGTGCATATTCATAAACTAGACCCTTTGCATATTAGAAAATAGAACAAACACAAATTTGGATGAAAGCCTGATCTAGGGTCTTAGGAAAGATGCAACTAACTCAATAATTTCAAAAAGTTAAGAAAGGTTGACTTCAAAAGCAGGCTAATAAACATAACGGTATTTTTCACTTTGAAGATTTTTAATTAATTTCATTGTTTATAAAATCATTGTTGTTTCAAATTATGTATGAATTTTTTTTCATACTTACTGCCTTTGAACACAAAGAGTCATTTTCCATTTCGCAGCCTTATTTTTATGGTTTTCGGAATCAGTTTTCTCTCTATTGACCAAAATGCCAAATATATCGTCATCCATATGATGTACAATATACATGCAAACTAATAGTAATTAGTTGATCCTTATATTATGATCATAGGTTAAATGCATAATGCATTTCTTCTGCCTTGAAGATACTTAGCACAGTGAAGAATGAAGACGTGGCTCCTAAACTGCAATTCCAGGACTCCCTAACCCATAGGCCTTAGACAAGTCATTTAACCTCTACTGTCCTCAGTTTTTTCATCCCTAAAATATAGGTGGCAATACCTTTTTGGATATATATGAAACAAACGGAGCTAAGTTGTGAGGAGGAGCTGACACAGAATAAATAATGATAATCTGATAAAATTCCAACAATTCACCCTACCACTATCCTGCCCAACATGGAAAGATTGTCTGGGGAGAATGGAAAAATAAATTATGTATTTACTCCTCTGATTATAGGAACTTGGGACAAGAAAGTCTAGCTACTTAAACTTTTAATCTGATCTAAAATAAAGATGAAATTGCAAATTCAAAGCTTATTCTGAGGTACATTGTTGACAAGATCTGAAAGTAGGAGAATGAAAAAATGGTAACTACAACTACTTTTTATGAAGTTTAACAGCAGAAATTATGCCCAATTATATTGCTGTTAGGAAAATCTTCTTCTATTATATAGCTCTGTAGAGCAGCATTGTAAAATAGAAATAAAATGCAAGCTATATATATATAAATTTAAATTTTCCAGAAGCTACATTTAAAAGAATAAAAAGATATAGATGAAATTAATTTTAATAATATATTTTAATTCAATAATCCAAAATATTATTTCAACATGTGATCGAAATCTAAAAATTAATAAGATATTTTACTCTTTTCATACTAAGTGTTCAAATCTTATGTGCGTTTCACACTTATAGCATATCTCAATTTGATATGCCCATAGTTCATACTTCATATGCCCAGTAATTCATATGCTCAATAACCACATGACATGTCTGTGTGTGTAGTTTGTGTATATATTTATGTTGGTGTGTATCTGTGCATATATTTTAACCTAAACCACAGGAAAAACAAAGGACATATTTTCTCTTCACACAGGTGGAAGGGGATCTGGCTTGGCTCATCAAAGTTTACCCTTTCTGCTGGACTTCAGTGTGCTATGTGATTTTTCTCATTCCCTCTCCACCAGCCCTGCCCCCCCCACCACGAATGACACTAGCTTTGTTCCGATGGCATAGTGAGGAATTTTAAGGAAGGGAAAGAATACGACCTTCCCAATGTTATCACACTGCTGAGACCAAAGTATTATTTTGAGAGAGGATATGGTTCTAAAATTTTAGAAGTGACTAGTTCGTGGTTAGCAGAGACCAAGGCTGGCCTAGAAGGGATGGAGGAAAGAAAGCAAAAGCAGAGAGGTAACCACACTTCAGATCTATTCCTTTTTCTCAGATACATTATAAGAAGACCCTTTAAGAAGAGGCAGACAGGCTATATCTTCTTTTATTATTGGTCTTAAAAGGCTATTTATTTATTTCATTCAATGAAAGGAAGGGACTTGGTTAAATTCATGGATTAAGAATCTGTAATTTTGCCTAGTGATAAGCAAAAATTTCTTATAAGTACTGCGCACTAACCAATCGTGCCACTGGAGCCAAAGAAGCCAAAATTCTTACCTTAACTCTTCATAAATTTGTGCCAAGATAACTTTCCGTGGAAAGTTGGATTTGATAGAGCAGTGGAATCTCTATGAAAAATATAGAGATGTCAGGCACTGCATAAATGGTCTAGTGGGTAGAGAAAGTAAAATATTTGTCCAAGTATCCTGTTAACGATTTTTGAAATCTTATCTAGTGTAGAACCATACACACACATTTACACACACACACACACACACACACACACACAGGAACATGTAGACACCCATGCCCAATAAGAAAATAGATAGAGAAATGTTACTATGAACTAGGTTGTTTAGTAAGTGTCTTGACTTTTTTAGGCTACTGGGTTTCCATTTCCTCAACTAGAGCAATGTTAATAACCCCCTAGTGATCCAATTAAAAAGAGAATGAATGCACTATGCAAAAACCAAACCAGAAAAACAAGCTTCTTTAGCCATTGTGATCTGACCCTGTGGGAAATATGCTCCCCTGAATGCATGTGCAGTTTAAATCAACAAATACCCGAACCTTGAAATAATTCAACATGATATTTGATTAATTGTGTGCATGCTTGGGCATATGAACACATGCACACATGTACATACTAACATACAAGCATGTTCTTCATATGTGAAGACAAAACTACTCACGCTCATTGCACGAAAGGGCCACTGAGAGGCCAAGTGTCCTGTCCTCATGAAAATACAATCCTTTCATCTGCAGCTGCAGCTGCTGCTTTTCAATGGCTAAAAGAGGCAGGACTATCCATAGACAAAGCTTTTGCCAAACCCCAGTTCTAGGACTTGGAGTCACAAGATAGAAGTCTTCACTCTGTCGCAAAGACACTTGGGAAGATGGTAGAACAGAAGGAAGCTCCTTTTACACAAACTTCTGGGCAAACCATAATTATTAGTCATAACTAATGCAAAATAATCCTATCCCTGTAAATCAGGTAAAGTAAGGCTAAAATAATTTCACTATTAATCAAATAGCTAAAGTCCATCAATGAATTATGTTGCTGCATTATCTGAAAAAAAGGAGATGAAAAATCTGTGATCCATTCCGAAAATATTTAGGAATAAATTTGAGGTTTAAATTCACTGAACATATCCGTAAAGTTTATTATAACTCCAAAGTTGCCATTTTAAATTGGCTTCTTCCAGAAGATTGGAGTGTGTAAATTGCATGGAAATGGAGAAAGGGGAATTGTTTCTCACCAAAAATGAGCTCCATTTTAAAGAAACTAGTTCAAAACTTGAATTATTCTATTTAATAAAAGCTAGCTAGCACAAAAATGTAGTATGAAGTGTGACAATTACAGGTCATGTGTACTCACTGTCAAAATATTTCTCAGATTCTTCCTTCTAAATAGTCATTTTTTACCTCCTCTGTGTTTCTGTTCTATGCAAGAACTGTGTTTCCTGGACTTTAAACTATGAAAGTTAAAAATGTCAGTGTTTTCAGGTCAGTGCATTTAACTGATTTTTAAAGTTCTTTTTTCACTTTTTTTCAATGCAGGCAATAACTAAAAGTGTTAACCTGTTTATATAATGTATATTTAATGAATATTAAGTCTGCCCATTTTATGAGTCTAAATAAATATTCTTTATATAGTAAGTAGGCATATATAGAGATAGATAGCTATTTTATAGCTATTAAAATATATTATAAATCTACCATAGTGAAAATAGCTTGGTATGCCAATTGTTTGCTTCTTCATTTGGTATGCTTTTAATTTTTAGTTAGAATCTCTGTTCTCTGTTCTCCATGTCTATTACCTCTGTCACACAGTTTTTATTATTCTGCTGCAGCTTTTCCTCCTGACAAGGAAACTCTTTGGGGAATCCACTAAAAATAATGTAGGCTACTTCTGAGGTTGTCTAGCCTTAGCAATTACCTTTTCCTGCCACCACTATAAAATTAACACATTGCAATTTGTAGAGTACAAGTAATGTACCTGATGTTCTAAACACTAGGCACAAGTCCCTGTGAAATATCAAAAGTGTTAAAGTAGCAATTCCTCAGTTCTGTGGATGCCAACAAGAAAACACAGTTCTACATGATTCAGCAGCGAGAAAATTAGATGTTATCTGCTGGAGCAAGCTGGTCATAATGTACTGTTCCTCACAGCTATTATAGTTAACCCTCCCTCACTTACTGTAATTAAGCCTGTTGCATCCATCTCATTACCACTAAATCTTCATATAAGATAATGCAATAGATTGATTTGGGAAATATCAACAAGCAGTGGAGTGCCATAATCAATAACGTTTGTTCTACACCAAGCTCTGTCATCTTCAGGGCTTTGCATGTGCTGTTCTTTGTATTTGGAACATGCCCACAGCACCTCCTATCTTGTCCTTACTCTTACCTACTCATTGCATGAATTTCTTTTAAATAATACATAACATATTCTATCATGTAAATTTATTTAATTTCACATTCTTCTTCTGTTTCAATGCTAACACGACCTTCTTCAAAGGCATTCCTCTCTCCCAAACATATTAATTGGCTTAGTAAACTGCCACTTCTCTGTTCTTAGACAGTACCCTGTGCCTATGCATGCCATAGTCCTTACCACTAAATAATGTAAAGCTTCCTTGTTTCTCTATGTCCCTGCCTTGAACTGCAAACTCCATAGGACAAGTACCAACTATCTCTTAGCTAAAGATACAGTCTCAGTACCTAGAACCATTGCTCATCATATTGCAAACCTATAATGCATACTTTAGCTTCTTTGGGAATATAATAACATTAAAAATTACTCTTGGTGCTAAGGGTACTTACAAAATAAATAGGATAGGCATGGGTTTCTTAAATCCGTCTACTTTCTTCTATTTCCAAATCCATAATCTTACACACGGACTCTAAGGGACCTGCTTACTAACATCTCCACTTTCCAACCTGCCCACCTTCACATTTTAAAATGCAAATTGAATCATCACATTACTTTCCTGCTTAAACTGGACATTGGCTGTCCACTAAACTTGGGATAAAATATCAAGTCCTAAACATGACTTATAAGGTCTAGGAATTCTAGTTCCTCCATCTCTAATTCCATCTCTCTCTACTAGACTTCATGTTCACCAAGAGTTTTCCCAACTCAAATGTTCCTTCTCTGACTAGGATATCCCCTGTCCCTCCTATCACACTAACACAACTGTACCTCACCTGAACAAATTATTCTCACCCTGCAGGTCTCAGAAGCCATCCTATACCCCAACATAAAAAAAAAACCCACCCATTATATTATTTCAACAATATATTTTTCCTTCACAGCATTTTTCCAACTGGAAAATTCCCAAAATAATTTCCCAATTGTAATTTAATTAATATTTTGTAATTATATTCTCTTAGTAAACTGTAAGCTCCATAAAAGCAGAAATTGCATTTATTCTTTCTACCACTATGTATATGCCCAATGCTCAGCTTGGTACCTATTCTGTAGTAAGTTCTTGAATACGCTTTGAATGAATAATAAGGGTGGCAAATGCCAGAGGAACTCAGGAGAAAGTGATTATTAAAAATAAGCCTTCTCCTGCCAGAAGAGTTAGACTGAGTTGCATTGTAAAAGAGGTAGTAGATTTAGAAAAGTGAATTTCTAGATATTAAGATTTTATGGAACATTTTTTTTTCATGCAGACTTGTAAAATGTTGCCAGCTCTTAATTTTTCCAAGTAATGCCATTAAAACCAAAAATAATTCCACCTTGGAATAGCCATCATTTTATATTTAGAAGGACATATTCTAACACTAAAAATGCTTTTGAAAAATTCAAAATGAAGTACAATTCTTTAAATTGAATGAATTTGACCTTATGAGAAATAAATTATCCTGGTGTGTGTGGCGGGGGGGATGGGGGGTGGGTATGTGGGTGTGGGTTTGTTTTCTCATTTCCCTTCAGAAAATTTCAGCAAGGACTGGCTGCAATCCATGAGTATTCAGTAACCATTGAACTGACCTGGATAAGAGGAGAAAATCCAGGAGTCCCAGGCAGAGGCAGACCTAAGGCTTCGGGAATGCTCTGGGCATATTCAGGAAAACAATCAATAGGCAGCCAAAGTGCAGGTTTTGTGGAGGGGAGAAAATGTTAACTAGAGAGATAGTAGAAGCAAAATGCCTGGACAATTTGACATAACTGCTTTCTCCCATTATGCTTGGTTCACATGTAGAAAAATACTAGTGTTTCCAACAGGAGGAGAAGCCAACAACTGAAAGAAGGAGGAAAAGTCACTCAACTGTTCATCAAGAATGCACTGAGCAACTGCTATATGCATGCACTGACAGCCACTGGATGGGCACAAAGAGAAAGCAGCAAAAATACCTGCTGTGCTCTCTTCCCAGGACTGTTGGACAGGATGAAGGCTGTGAAACAGCAGTGCCCTGGACTCAGCAGCATCAGAGAGGCTGGAAGTAGACACAGCATCATCAAGTTTATGATTGCAGAGAAGAAAATCAAGGTTACAAAACAGCAAGGGGGAATGATCCCAGTTCTCTGCTCCTCCTGCACATGTATTCCCATGTCCATGCAGCCCGAGGCTCCTACGGAGTCTGGAGGGAAAGGCAGAGCCACGGGGAACACAGCAGAGCTTTTGGATAAATTTTCGATCCTTTTTGTCTCTCTTGCTCCATCCCATGTCAGAGCTACAAAATTATCCAAGAATTATCCAAGGCATCTTTTATGTCCTTTTGGGCAGCTTAGCCAGCCTCTGCCCCAACCTCAAATATAAGACTGATAATAGCAGTTTTTCATCATTACACAGAAATGCGGAGCATAATAGTTGCCATCCACTGCCATGTATTAAGAATTGGAAAATGAACAAATTAGGGGGTAAATCCATCCAAAATCAGATTATCAATTTAACCTAAAGACAAGATTGAAACTTGAGTTGACCAGCCTACACTATTCAACTGATTGCTATCTGTTAATGATTTTATTATTCTGAGTGAACTTCGCCCTTTTCAGAGAAATCTTTTATTTTAGCAGGTCCACAATTCAGAATAAATATGGACCTCGCTTTATCCTAAATCTCTTTTTTTCTAAATTAATTAGATCTTAAATGCACTTACAGAGCTTTCTATTTACAGGAACTCTTAGATATCCCAAAGGAGTGGTGAGTCAGTGTTACTCTCTGTTCACTTTTGAATGTGCGTGATAGGTGGTGGATGCTTAGATGTAGAGTGCATTAGTCTGGAGTTGTTCCTGAGGCCATAGGCATGTCCTCATGAAGCCCTGCTCCTGGGCCATTCAGCATGCATAGGTTGCTTCAGAAACTCAGTGGTAAGTCCTTTTGTAAAGCAGAGCCCTTTATGAACATGTATTACAACCCCTCAGCTCATTCTTTTCCTCTTCAGAATTTAGGAGATTGTGTGTTCTTTAAGCAATGTATACCTAGTCTATTTTTAGTATTGGGAGACTTGGTTTCCTATTCTTCTCTCCTACACCCTTCTGTGATATACAAGTACCCTCATTTCTAACTCGTAACAGTTAGAATGGCTGTAAAGCACTTGGCCTTTCTTGGAAGAAAGCACCATAAATGTACACGGTCCTGTTTATCTGTTAGTTTCTTTCACTAGTTTTCTGAGTGTCTGAAAATCCTATTTCAGTAACACAAACCTGTATATTTTAGGTTTAAATTCCTCTTTACATACAAACTTCAAAACCAGCTTCCCTCTCCATATGCACCCAGTGTAGCAGCTATTGAGGCTCTCCTAATTTACAGCCTTGTCTCACATTTATGCTAATTCTGGTTGACTTGTCTTCTAATATGAAGTAGTAACAAATAGTATAAAATATTTCCAGAGGTTTCCTATGACAATTGAAAAGAAAAGCTGTACAAAACTTAAATGCACATTAATTGGGAAATGGCTGAAGAGATGCTACCTCTGTGGTGTGGAATATTATTATGCTGCTGTTATAAAAAGAATGAGTTGGGTCTGTACCTAACCATGGTGATATTTGTTATATGTTACTATTAGGTTAAAATAAAACCAAGTTTCAGAAAAGTGTATACAATATGGCATTATTTTTGTAGAAAGCACAACTATATATGCATAGATATGTTTGTGCATGCTGGTATAAGCAAGAAGAAAGGTCTGAAAAGATGCACACCAAGCATTTATAAGGTTGGCCTCATTGAAATGGCAATAGGTGGAGAGGTGATAATTTTCTCATTATATACCTCGGTACTGTTTCAACATGTCACAACTGATGTGTGTTACATATAAAATAAAATAATAAATACAATTTAAAAGGAAAATAGTTGTCATATTTTCAATCTATAATAAAATCCCAAAGCATGAAAATTTGGCTGATTTAGAAATGTGAATTTTGATTGCTCTATTGGGAAAATCCCAAATATCATATTTAGATGGAAGCAACCTTAAATTTTATGCCAGTTTTGGTCTTGAATATTCTTGGAAATGATTGAATGCTGCAGCTTTCAATACAAAGAAAGGAATTTTGATACCAGCTAAGCATTTCCCAGCTCTTGTTCTCAGGTACTTTTCTCCATGACAGGAAAAATCAGAAGCTTGTAAATCATAACCAGGATGTTCTGAGAAAATTTCTGTTCTCAGTTTTCTCTGCCAATTATGTGTCCACTGACAAAGAATTAAAAATAGTATAAGTGATGTGACATTTTAGGAGCAAGAAAAATAACAGAAAAGCCTATAGTGGGCTGCCAGGTGCACAGCAACGTAGCACCTTTACAGCCTTGTCATGAAGTGCAGTTATGACACCAAATTTTGCTGTGTGTCTTCTTTCCCCATGGACTTCTGATTCCTACAGATTACTCTGTGATGCTTCTCTGTCTTTTTCCCCACGATCTGTTTCCCCCTGCCCATCTCAATTCCTTATCCCTCCTCCCACACAAAACACCCAAAAGTCCAATTATCTCATTTCCTCCCTAGTTAAAATACAAACACTTACTTGCAAAGAAGAAACAGTGTTTTCTAAATTTTTCAGCAATGGTGCAGGGCATTCTGGAGTTACAAAATTATACCCTCCTAGAGATCTGAGACTTAGTAACAATAGTACTTCAAGAATAAGTATCTGGCTATCAGGTTCTTCAGGAGGATTAAAACTATCTTCAGATAAGCACCATAGCAGGAATACACATTGCATCATTATCATGTTGAATGAAACCTTCACTTACCCAATTTTTACTTCATTTACATATTAATGTCACCTTGCCCTATTCCAGGAAACCCCTTTGGTTCTTTCTTTTTTCTGTCCAAGATGATTATACATGACTCATCTGCATGCAAAATCTTTTACAACATCAGATTGCCACACAAGCCAGCCTTTGTTTGGATACTTTTCTCCTGACAACACTCACCTGGTCCTTTCTTTCTCCTACTTCTCATTCCTTTATTCCTTTGATTTTTTTTTTCCTGTGTGCCTCATATTGCAACCCTTCACAAAGGTCTCTGTTTCTGGCCATGCCTTCTTTCTGAGGCAGAACCCTCTTTGTCTAAGGATCAATGATGTCCTCTAGCAGGCCATCCAAGATGTGGAGTTCTAAGTTGACAACAAAGTCTTGGTGCTGGGGTACAGGAAGCCATCACACACAGAGAGGGCTGTGTTCATGGAAAAGGCATTGTGGCCCAGTTAGTGAATTTTAATTTTATTTACATTAGAGGGAGGTAGTTATACTATGGAGTCATGTTTTCTTTCCCAGAGATCCCTACCAAAATGCTTCTAGACATTACCACAAATATGCTATCCTTTCACCTACAGATTTTTTAAAGCTTTTAAACATTTTATAGAAAGGCATCCCTGAAGCAATAAACAAGCAAATAATAAAACAATTGAAGGTATTCAAGAGGTCCCTAGAGGTGCTAGAGAAGAGAGCAGAGGAGGGATTGCTGAGCTAATGCAGCCTGATGCCTGTGGAATGTGGGTGAGGCGGAGAGTCGGCAGTTTTCTTCAGCCCTCTGCTCCTCTGCTGTGCCCATTCACCTACACACCTCACCCTGTGGAGATTCCCTAGGAGAGTACTCCACATTGCCAAGGATCCTGAGACAAGGAAATGGGGAAGCCACGGTCCTTACCCTCAGGTGTCTCAAATATCACCAGTAGATGAATCAAAGGATTCCCTCCTTAACCCTTAGGTCAATTATTAAACACATAAAAATAGAATCTTCTCACATCTTGTTTTTTGTAACAATGAAAAAGAAAGTACCTTTTTTTTTTTCTGAGTAGCTGTGTTATCTAGGCTCCGAGAATCAGTGATCTATGTTTTGAATATACATGTCCCTTACTATCAAAGTTATTTGTAATTCAATAATTATTCTTTTTATTAGTATGTTTATATTATATGTATACAATCATAAATATATATTTTTAAATCTTAATGGAGTAATTACTTATATCAGTCATTGTCATAACTAGTAAAACCGTGCTATAATGCGAGCAGGATAATCTTCCTCTATGGCAGATGCAAGAAAGATGTGAAGTTTGGGGGATGAAAATGTATTTTGTGAATAGCTCCTGGGTATGTGGGCCAATCCCAGCCAATTAGAGGCTATTCATTAAGGCCCAAAAAGTGTTGCCTGGGTAGCAGATTAATAATGGCATAGACCTCTTTCAGGTTTCATGACAGGGCCTATTCTTTGCCAAATGTATCACATTTGAGAGTTTGTAGCCTGTTAAGTGTACTCATTAGGAAAAAATAATTATACTTTCTCAAGTTTTATGGATTACTTCTTTGAAATTCTCTACAATATCTAATAAACTTCAATTTCCCAATAACTTTAGAATACAAAATAATGGTTTAAGTTTACTAAATTAGGAACTGTTTAAAAATATTTGCCATCCATACATTGGCAAGTGGTTTGGTAAATTTGGAATACTGATCACAATCTCAGGCATAATGTGTGCTCTTCTACTTTCTGAATTTCCCTCCTCTCATGCTTTTCATCTCCCCTTTGACTAAAACAGGGAAAAGTTTGAGTTAATACAAGGGTGAAGCTGGACCTGAGCTTGGTTCTCTGCACTAGCTTTTCCTTTTTTGTTGTTTTGTCTCTCTCTTCTCTTCTATTTCCTCCCTGGCTTCATCTCTTCTCTTGGTCTCTCCTCTTCATAGTAGTTATTGTCACTATCAAATGTATGCTGTCACTCTACCGTATAATCTGTCACAGCAGGGCACCAGGTGCCAGGGGCAAGGCAACAAAAGTGTAGCGTGCCTTCTCTGCCCTCCAGGAGCTGGATGCTTTTTCAGGAGATCAAATACATACACATAACCTTCATGCTCTCATTCCTTCACGCTACAAATATTTATTGAGCATTTACTATATGTCAGACTCTGTGCTTTGTGATAAATAAAACAGAGCTCCCCCTTACAACCACCACCAAAATAAAGTAGCTAACACAGCAAAATATAACAACTGCCAAATGTCTCATAGATCAGAAGTGTTATGGAAGTCCAAAAGAAAAGATATTTCCACCTGAAGGGATCACAGAAGCTAAATAGAAAATATACATTAGAAAATAGAGCTCTAAGCCCACGAATATTAAAATATGCTTTATATAAGTTTCAATAACTCCTTTCTTTACCATGCATCAGATAGCAAACATATTTGCGTGCTTGATTTGGAGTTGTGGATAAAGAACTGGACGTTTCAGTCCTAACTCTGCTTACTTCACTAGAATTAAATATAATTAGACATTTTAAATTGCATTACAGATGTATTTATTATTTGTTCCTAAAGTGCTAAGTGATTTTGCTAAATTTCATTTATTTTCACTTTAAAAATAATACATATTGCTCTTTGAAAAAAGAATTATTGAGAGAGGAAGTAAATGCATCATTTTCAGGGATTCCCCTAGTACAAGAAAGTTAAAGGTCCTGTATTTACAATAACTAAAAGATATGGAAAAGAAACTCAAACTGTGAGTATACTTCATGACATTTTTCTTTCTCACAGATAGGTAGAAGACTACATTAAATGACACCTTCATAAATTTCATGAGACCTGTACACATTTGATCTGTGGATACATCGCCAGACACCATTTTCTTGATGTAAAGATAAGTTAGTTTGTTTTTTAAAATCCTGACTCAGCTTCCTTCCAGTATTTTTTAAGAGTCCTTGTGTATTCAATCTAATTATTTACCAAATAGAAGTTGGAGAGGATTCACTCTGGAAGAAATCCATTTTAATGTAATTGTTCTGGCATTTAGCACATCCTAATATTTGTCATCTGTTGCTCTTGCTGTGCATTCAAAGGGCTTGGATATGATGCCCTTTAAAAAAAAAAAAAAGAAAGAAACCCTCGGTATTGTGTAATACAGCACCATTTCATTGTAATGCAGAATGCATAGCTTCAAGTGTTTGCAACACTCTCCAGCCAGTTCCTTTCACACTGAAAATAGACATAGGGCCAATGTGAATGCAGGCTTTTTTTTTTTTCCAGCTCCACTAATCTTGCAGCTGACATCTTAGCAAACAATTAAGCATTCAAGAAAGTTTACAAAAATTAAAGCCAAATTGCCAGCTACTCCCTACTGATAATCTCAAAGTCATATATTTTGCCAAAAACAAAATGCACCAAGAAAATATGGTCACTTTAAAGGGACATACTCAATCATTATTCAGCAGCAGAACCACCTGCACCAACCCAGGCTAGCTACTTAATTTATTCCAATTCCTTTTGTTGTTGTTATTATTATTGTTCTTAGAAACAAGGACATTTTGGGGGAACCTTAGCAGGGCTTCATCTGAAATCTTTGCCATTTATAAACGTTATGTAGTTACTTTAAAGTGATCTGTAAAAGCCACAGTGACTCCCCATGCAGGTTTCTTTATGAAATTACAGGGGAAGAATGTTAAGTATAAAAGTTTACTCTTCCAATTCTAGAATTTTGCATTCCCAAAAGGTTGTAAAGAGATTGTTACCAAATCCCAGCTTAGGAGAAGGGAAGAAACGTCCAGTATCTGCTGTTTTCTTCCTAGTCATGATGCACCCTGAGAGTGTTACACAAAATGGGCTTTTTGGGACCACAATCTGGCCAGCCCTCAACCACCCCAAGTGGTCCTAAAGATCATTGATGGGGATCTTTGGGATGTTGGGGGAAGCTCTTCTGACATTTCTCTCATGTGGTGGGAAAAATAACAGTTCTCACTTCCTTCTCCTGCAATACTGAACTATATGCCTCACCTCTGCCCTCAGCATTTGGCCATTTTCAATGATTGTGTCCAAGTCAGCCGAAGACAGTCTACTGTTGCTGACAACCCTTCAGTGACTCCACTGCCCCTAGCATAAAAGTACAAATCACAATTTGGGAATTCTGGTTCCAACCCTTCTGCATTAGATAAACAGGTTTACTCAGCATCAAAATTGCAATAAGAGAACGAAGCCCTTTCTAGACGTTGCTGTGCAGGTGGGAGTGTCTTGGTATAAGGTGCTTACTAGGTTTTAATCACTTTTGCCATCTCTGACATGCCTTGGCCCTTTGCTCACTCAGGCTCTCTTTTGCTTCCTTCGTCTATCAGGACATTCTCCAGAAGGTTCTTTTTGTCTACTCAAGTTCTTGATACCTCCTCAGAATTTCAGCAACATGTTACCTTAAATGCTAATTACGTTTTTAAACATATATTTTTCTAACCAAACTGTAATGCAGAACAAGGATCTATAAGTAGTTTGTATTACAATGTTCAGTAAAGTACATTCTTGGTATTTCAGAGAACATTATTAATAATATTTTCTAAAAATGACACCCGAATAGAATAACAAATACATTGATTCAAAATTGATGATCTTGTAGTAACCCTAAAGTTTTCAGATGGAAATCACATAAAAATATGTGGCATATGGAATGAGAAAATCTCCCTCCTGGTTCTTCTTTTCCTGGAGTGTGTGGTCCAAAATTAACACCACTGCCCAAGGCATCATCATTCCTCAACCCTGATTCTCTCTGTCTGTGGTATTGGGGAAGTTGGTTTATCTTTACTTTCTTTGAGTTTGCCCTTTTTCAGAAAAAGGAATGAAAGTGTACTTTTCTTGGAATTGGTGGCACATTATAGTTTTGGAGAAGTATTTAATAAAAATCAGGCTAATAAAATGTTCATTGTGATTTTCAGAGAATATTTCAACAGAAACAAAATTAACTTATTCTTGTTTAATTGACTTTACCCTGTGACTACTTGTCTACCAAAATTCAAAGTTCTCAGTCTTTTGAAGTGAGTCTGAATCCCTGTCGGTTGCTTAGTTCTCCTTCACATTGTCACTGAGAGTCTGTTACAGATGATCTAGCTGTTGCCAGGGCATTAAAAGATTTTATCTTTGTAAATCATTCTCTACATTCTGCATGTAACAATTTATTTATTTATTTTTTCACAAAATACTTACAGAGCTCTAATGGCATTAGGTATCTGACATTCAATAGGTTGGATGGCACTTGGTGGCACTGGCCTCTGAGTATTCAATGAGAATACTGTTTGGTTCTTTTTCATTTTAATTGCTGGAATGGCTGTGGATATAAGTTGTTTTGCACAAAAGGGTGACAAATAATGATGAAAGACACCAGAGTGCTCTCATGTGTGGCTTCGTCAAGAAGGAGAAAAGAGATTATTGCAGCTGAACTGATCACATGGAATTTGCTGGGCCTTCCCTTTCCCCCCACCCCCACCCCCATCACCACCATGTGCCCTACTAAAATGCAGTTCTTACAATCTACGAACGATCCAGCTGAATAACACACAAAAATTGATCCTATTAACAATGATCTTTAGAATGTTCAAGGACATAACGCCGCTTTTGTAAGCCTCCAACATAAGCATTCTCAAATCCTTTAAGGAGCAAATTGTTTCTGGTTTTGTCGTTTTCTTCCTAGCAAACTGTTGCCTTAAAACAGAGCTTCTGTGGGGTGGGGGGAGCCGCACAAGCCTCCAGTTTAAAACAATGTTCTCACTGGCCTTCCTAGCAACTGAGATGTCACTTATATTTTTAATTAACATTTTAGTCCCCTAAAATTATTTAATACTAAGCAAACATGTTAATGATGTAAAAATCAATGCTAAGAAAAGTGGCCGAAGAGATAATAGGTAAAATTAATTATTTTATGACCTATGGGGTGTTCAATGGTTCTTTTGTTTAAAAAAGAAAAAAATAAACTTCATTACTCTTACAGGGAGTATTTATGATCTTTATGGAAAGAATGAGTCTGTGTCCCAAATTACTGAACATTTATGTGCCTGTGTAAGTCTGGATTTTTCACCCCCTTTTCTAGCATCTAAGTGGCTTTTATGTTCAGCAGCACTGAGGAAACTGTGGGCTTCCTCCTCCTCCTGGTGAGCTTACTCCTTTTTCTTCTCCTTTTCTTTCTGTTTTAGGGAATTGCCTCTGCTACCTCAAAGGCAGTTTTCCAAATATCTGCATCCCATGCCCTCCCTGAGCCTCGTGGCTCAGCTTCGCCTACTCTTTTCAACCAGCCTTCAGGCACTGAGGTCTGTGGCCCTAACTGCTGGCCCTTACCTCAAAGTTTCCTTGGTAGTTTTCTTACTTAAGCTGTGAGACACATCATATGAAAGACTGTAACTCATAACTGTGTGCGTAATTGTGCAGACATTTCAGCAAGAGGATGCTGGCTGTTTCATACTCTGCTTTAGATCTTTCAAAATAGAAACTCTCTCTACTCTCCCCTCTGCCCGCCCCCCACTTGCCGCCCCACTTCATTTCTAATCAAGCTGTTACTTGCAGGCATTTTCATTATTACACGAGGAGTGTAATACACAAAAACTTGGGCTTTGTAGTCATAATATGCTGCCAGTGGTTACAGAATCCAGAGAAAATTCACTGATGACTACAGATAAAGGTTGCGGTTTTGAACTTCTCACAATGGGCACTTTATGAATAACACCAATGGTGACAATTCTACATTAAAAGAGAATGCCTATAATTAGGCCTTGGACACACATGTTAATAAGTGAGGAACAGCTATGTCTTCCCACAATAGAGCCTGATCATTTCCATCAGGGACTGAGAGTCAGAAAAATGTTTTCCTTCATTAAGTTCTACTCATTCTGTGTTGGCTTTTTAAGTTCTTCAAAATTGAGGCAGGAGAAATTTATTTGGAAGAAGAGCAGCCTCTCTATTCCCCTCCCCAAGTTAAATTCTGAGAATAAAACGATGGGCCTTAACCGTTTTCTTTAACCCCCAAGTCCCTTTGTGTGGCAATATGGCTTTCTATTGAAGGTTCCAACAGTGGGGGAGGATTCAGATCTGTGTACAGACGAAGCCCCAGTGGCAGACAAAATGAGGTTTAGTATCATAGGGTTGCAAGAATTAAAAAAAAAAAAAAAAAAAAGATGGAAGGTGGATAATGAAGATGAATCTGGTTAGAATTGAGAAGAGAGCTCTCGGACCTAAGAAAGCACCTTCCCTTTACAGCCATCTCCTCCCCATTGTGCTGCCGCCCACATGACATAAAAGCCCTCAGATGGAAGCCCCTATTTATCCTGAATGGCAACAGTTCATTTTTGAGATGACCACATTCAGGGTCTGTAATCGGCCACCGTAAATAATATTTTACGTTTAAAAAGTATATACATGTAGTTGTTGAGAATGAGTTAATTAAGAGGTTTCCTTGTTGTTTGTTTTGTAATATCTTCAAAGAAAAAAGTTTAACAATTAAAGATTTGATTGTATTAATCCAACTTGCCCCATTTCTATCTTTTGAAAAGGAAAATATAAAAAGACTTTGTAAGCTGAAAACAACTATAGAACAATGTAAGATGTCACCAGCATTCACCCTCCTATTGCTTTGGTCAGTCACTTCTCTTTTCAGAAAAGAAAACCTGGTTTACTTGATGTTGTTGCTGTAGTTTTTAACAGAATCTTTCAACACACAAACACTAAATGGAGTCAGTGAAACACTTCTAGTAATAATTTCTTTATCTGTTTAAATTTAAATTTTCTTCTCTGAAAAAAGTGATTGATTTCAATAGTTTCAAAAAATTTTATTGAAAGTGGGAGGAGAGGCTCTTCATGTCAAGAAAAGGTATTTTCTGAAGCCTCTGAAGAGTCCAGCATTTTATTCTTATGCCCCATGTACAGTGGGAGGGAAATTAAGAAGTTTGAATGGGAACCGAAAGAACTGTTCTTTGTGCAGCTCAGTCTCTCCTGATGTGGTATGTGTTCCAGGAAAGAGGACAGGCACTGAGACTAAACACAAAAATCAAAATGGATTTTACTCCGCCTCCAGTAAACAGCATGGCACAAAAGTCCATTGTGCTATGAGATAACTGCTAAGATGAATGGAGTTGGCTGTCACGGAGGTGATTGTGGGGCCGGTCTCTATTGGATCACAGTCCAGGACTGAATTCCTTTCTGGTTCATCAGGGTCTGTTGGTACCACAGGAAGTGTCATGATCCTTTTTTTCACTAGGGCCAGATGGTGTCCTTTTTGAGGCCTTACTAATGCCCAGTTTTCCACATGTAAAACTCCTGGGAAAATGACCTAACTCACAGCTGCTTAGTGAGGCTTGAGCAGGCCTTTAGAAAGACTTCTGTCAAGAACAAGGAGATTGTACCACTACCAGAGTAAAGGGGGAGGCTCTGGCCAGAAATGTATCAATTACAAACTATTTTTAAACGACCATCATAATTTGAATTGTGATTTGCACAATGTATGTCTTCATAGGCAGTGGCTAAAAGGATATTTCACAAAAGCAACTAATGGCTAGGGATGCTGATTGTTTTCCTAGCAGAACTTTTACCTTCCTTGAGAGCAGATGGCCTGAATAAGAAGAGAAAATGTGGTCCAGAAGGGTCGGGAAAGGACAAAAAGTGAAAGATTCCCTAGATAGCTGCAAGGAGCCTGGGGAGAGGGGAGGGATCCTAGTGTTAAAAAGAGCTGGAAAAAGTGGAAACTTTTGATGCATGTGGGTTGTGTTTACTGATGAATTGAATGATTCCCAAGAGTAGACAACTGCAGGTGTGATATTTAGAAAGCAGGATGCCTTTTCTATTAGCCGAGTTATAGTGAGAACACATCAAAGTTGTTATAGGGGTTCAGTATGAGATTCATACTGAAAGTTACTGTAGGATTTTTTCCCATCCTAAAAAGCATTAGCAATAATTACCTTTGGGATAAAGCTACTCTTAATAGCTTTATCTCTGCTTTTGAATCTTTGCTTATTTTTGTGCATTGAGTAGCAATTGGTCCTTACTTATTTGTGGGTGCATTTTACCCTATATGGGAATTTTTTTTATCCTGATTGTTTTCACCTTGTTTAAAGCGGTTCTTTTACTAGCTATAAGAGTTCTTATTAACTTTTTGATTAATTAATTTGTAACAAATGACAGATTTTTCATGTCATTTTTGAATGGTTGGTTCAAATTAAAAAAATAAATAAATACAAAGCCTAAAGCCATATAAAAGGAGGTTTGTATTTTTTTCATCCAAACTATAGCCAAAAAAAAATTGCAAACAAATGAAGCATCAGAATAATTACTGTGAGGATCTCTTTCTATAAGGTTACTTTTCTTTTTTAACCTACTTGCAAATTTGCATAACTTTCAGGTCACAAAAATCTTACATTACTGGAGGGAGGAAGGAAAATTAATGTAAAACATTTGACTCATGTTTTCACTCAAGTGCTTAACATTAAGTCTATTGAAAGAAATGTTTCATCTCACATATTTAAACCTAACAATTGCTGTGTAGCAAATGAAAGATCAGCAACATAAGATGAAAGCAATACCTTCACAATTTTCATTGTCTAAGATTTTTGATAAAAAGACATAAGACAGTGATTAGCTATTTTTATTACTCTAATCTTAAAAAGCATCAATGTCCATAATTTGCAGATTATTGACTTTATTGTTTGTGATTGTTTCACAGAACCTTGCTTCCCATATATAACTGATCACAGCTTATGCCAGGATGAGAATTGTCATAAAGTAACGTAACATTTCATAAAAATATGTTGAGAGGCTGCCAACTTCAAAGGGTGATTGATACTTTGCTCAAGTGGTGCCAGTTTAATTCACCCTTTAAAATGCCCAGCTCCATGGGGAACTTGGAAATGTACATGTAGGACACTAATCTGAGAGGATAGGAGAGAAGGAAGTACATTCTCCTCTGGTTAGCAACCAGCAGCATTACAACAAAGATGCAACAACTTATTAAAGGCATAATTTGTTTATTAGCTTGTCTTTATTTTTAAACAATAATAGAACTCAGTAGAAACAGTTTTAAATATAATTCTTAAATATAGTTTTAAAAATAATTGGTAGTTATTTTGCTTTTGTTTTAAAAATGTGCCCCACTGCTGGGGCCCAGGTCAGCAGAACAAACACAGGTATCTTGCATACCTGTACGATCCACGTAGTACCGCTAAGGAGCCCCAGAGACAGAACCAGGATTTCCTCCACTGGGTCAGTTACATGCAGCCTGGCTTTTAGCAGAAACTAGCCTGTCTCCTTCTTTTCATGGGCAGGGTTACGTTTTGTTGTGGCACAAAGAAATCCTTTCCTCCCTTGTTCACAAAGCCGCACAGCACTGGCTCTCCTTTATCAACTGCTCTTTTCTTTCTCTGAATGCTATATTTTTTTTATTTACATAAGAATTCTTGTAGATGTTTTATTTACATATGTATTCACTCATTTCAGATGAATAGAAGGAAGTGATGAAACCCTAAACCCAAAAGCACATTTTTACAAAGACTAAAAACCATCTCTGTAGCTGTCACTGTGCCAGAAAGTAACTCTAATCTTGCTTTTATCTGTCTTAATTGTTGACAATTGTCTTAATTGTCTTACTCTTCAGTGCTTGGGTAGAAATTCATAGAGTTTGCAGTGCCTTTCCAAGAGTCAAGTTTGATGCCCACTAGTTTTCTTGTGAGACAAAGAGGAAGGAAAGGGTACTATCTGAAGAAAGCCTCTCTGATTTGGGAGATGCTGTTCAGTTATTAGAATGGATCATCAAAGAAAGAAAGAACCATCCTGAGCCACATATGAGTAATCATAATACATTTATGAATTTTATCACATAACTACTAAAAAGCAAAGAGTATTCTTTTAAAATATTCACAAATTAATCTTTGACATTACTTATTTAAATAATTTTTTTTCAAGAATATCCATTCATACAGAGAGTAAAAATTCAAATTGACCAGTTCAATATTTATTTGTGGCAGAAACTAGAACTTTCATATGTTTTCAATATTGTAACTTCTGGCAGTGGGAAGAGAGACTTTCTTGTTGAAAATTTTAATGTCATTTCCCAAACAAAAGACTTGGTTAATTTTGAAAATAAAAATCCTTCAGTTAGTTTTCTCATTGTGGGAATATATGTGAAATATGCTCTTCATATTTTTAAACTGTACTAAATAAGAAATAATCCTTATTATTCCCTGAGGCTTCCTGCATGTTTGAAAGTTGTGATATCTCAGAATTTATCCTATAAACTATTGACATCGTCCAAAGTTTTACTCCTGTTTTTACCGTTGTTATCAACAAATATTCATTGAAGCATCTCCTTCATCCAAGTAATGAGGCTGGACATTAGCAATTAAAACAAAAAAAAAAAGAAGAAGAAGGAATCAGACATAGACCTCTTCTATAAGATGTCTGTGAGAATCTTCAATAATAAGTTCATTAGAAACAGGCAGTATGTGTGCTGGAGCGTCTAGAAGGACCTCTTAGAAGGGCGTTTTAGATATTAGCATCCAAATCCCATCACATTCTTTTCCTGCCCTTTGATTTCTTGAAGACTGTATATACAATAGGAGCTCAATAAATGTTACTGTTGTTAAGATCTAGCTATTGTCAGCCAATCTGCCACTGTAAAAATTTCACTTGACTCATTCTTTACAATATTTCTGGAAGACAGGGTTGCTATTGTGGCTGCTATTGTTTAATCTGTTTTCTTGGATTATTTGGATTACTCCAAAATCTTTTCATTAATTAAAATTGTAAAACTACTTTCAGTGAATTAATACCACAGATTTGTTAGTTCAGTCTGGGTTGTGAAAGGGTCTGAACCCAGGTCATGGGGTTAGTATTTGGCTCATGCATCTCTTGTTCAAAACATTCATTCACCTGCAAGTTATTTAAGAAAGACCAGTTGACCATGTAGGTATCCCCATGACATGAGCATACATTAAGAAAGAAGGGGTTATAAATCCATAGATTTTGCAGCTGAAAGGAAACTTATAGACCATCCAACAATTTCATTCTTCATAGAAGAAAAGTCAAAGTGGAGAAAGGACTTTGTCTTATTCATCTATGGTACCTGAAGCACAACAAAATCATAATAAATTATAAATCTTGGTGCTTAGTATGAAGCTAAGTATTTATATACATGGTCTCATTCTCACCATAAAATCTGAAGGGGGTGCAAATTTCTAGATTTTTGTGAATGACAAAACTGAGACTTTCAGAGATGAAGTAATATGCTCAGGTTCCATAGCTAATAAAGTAAAATCACAATGAATCTTACTCTGAAGCCTAAATTCCCTTCCTCACCCATTATTATAGGTGATTTTATGATTTTATATTAGGTACTAAAAAATGATGTTGAATTTGTAATACTAAAATTTCCTGGTCAATAGATACAATGAATGGAAACAGAGAGAGAGTGAGAGAGAGAAGTGGGGGAGGGAAGAAGGGAGTAGAATGGAGGATAGGAAAAAGAAAGAAACCTCAGTACTGTAACTTTATGATTTTTGCATTTGCGTCCTTTGATTTCAGTCCAATATTATAATACTTAAAACCAAATTCTACCAGATTATTAGTCAATGACTCCTAATTAGTAAACTCAGATAAAGTAAACAATATTAAATCAGTAAGGTAAAAGTTACTATGTAATACAAGAAGCTTATTAATATCAATCTAAAAGCATTAACATTGCTACCTCACCAAGCCCCGAAAAAAATCACATTAAAACCTCTGCAGTTATATAAACATTACAAACTTTAAAATTCAGTAACCTGGATATAGTTTGAAAATCAAATGTGTTTTTTTTTGTTTTTTTTTATTGTTGTTGTTTATTTTTGGTTTTGTTTTTGAAACAGTCTCATTCTGTCGCCCAGGCTGGAGTGCAGTCGCGCGATCTCGGCTCACTGCAACCTCTGCCTTCCTGCCTCAAGAGATCCTTCCACTTCAGCCTCCCCAGTAGCTGGGACTACAGACGCCTGCCACCATGCCCAGATAATTTTTTTTATTTTTTGTAGAGGGGGTCCTCGCCATGTTGCCCAAGCTGGTCTCACTCCTAAGCTCAAGCGATCTGCCCACCTCAGCCTCCCAAAGTGCTGGGAATACAGGCGTGAGCCACCATGCTCGGCCTTAATAAACTACTTCTTTAAATGTACCGTTGTTGCTAATATTTAATAATTAATTTTATACCATGCATTAAGTAGTTACTATGTGCATGACCCTGAGCCAGGTATTACAACATAGTTGAATAAAAGTCTTTATAAAAATGAACACTTTTTTTTTTCCTTTGAGGGTTTCATTAAGTTTTCAATATTTTAAGGGTATAGTGTTTTCAGGACAAAAATGACAAAAACCAACAACCAATGTTTTGTTATTTGTTTCAGTTCAGTCTCTATCTCAAGCCAGATTTTTTACAGTTTCCTTAGTGAGTGCACTTAACTAACTTGGCTTTCTAGACTTGGTTTAGAAGGCTTTCTTGAAGAAGAGGAAATATGCTGCTTTGAATTAGGATAATTTTGAAACACCTATGCTTTGACTTTAGAAAGCACCACCACGCTATGACTTTAGAAAGCATTTTGTGAAGTTAGATCAATACTCTTGATTAATTTCTAGCTGCATTCATACTTTAGTCATATATTCTCCATACAAATTTTTGCATTCTTGTGAAAGCAAAACAAATATTTTTCTTTTAAATAACTTAGACAACCCTTTTTAATGAAATTAGAGAAACCTTAGCTCTAATTGTGGCAGTTAAAATGAGCAAGTCCATATCAATTATACTCAGTCCAGAGAACCATGTAACATGATGGAAACAAAAGCCATGCCTAAAGGTCAATGGAATTGAGATGTCTTCACCTGAAAAAAGGGGGTCACTAAGGAAAGGGGCTACTGATTAATTAACTTCAGGAATATGCATTCTTCTTCTCAAGTATGGAAAAGATAAAGAGCAAATAGACTGGAGTTTCAAGAAAAGAAAATTTAATTAGAGATAAGATATAACGTCTTGACTGTAAGATAATAAAATATTGCAGCAGATTAAATTAAAAGGTATTTTGAAAACTTTCTATTAGTTAAGGCTTTGATCCACCCAAGAGCAGAGAAGTAAACCAAACAAAATCAATTCAACAAAATAATTATGTGAAATGTAGATTACCTTTCCAATAAGTTTCCCTCTGGATAGAATTTCAGGGAAAATTGTTTTATTTTATATTAATGGTATCTATTACTTTGTTTTCTCTCATATTGCATGTATTACTGTTAATGACAGTCTAGTCAAGTCATTATTCACGGGTGGCGAAGGACACAAAATTTGATCATAAATGTTTACCTTCCCCCTTGCCGTGTGAGAACTCCTTTGATGTGGATCTTATTTCCTCTTAGCCTATAAGTAATTGTAGACTCATTCCCAAAATCTCCATGCTAAACGGTCTTTGTGGTTTAAAAGAGTCATGCCTTAGCAGGGGTTCTCAGACTTTTCCACTAACAAACCTTTATATCAGTCAATGTCAGTCAAGAAAACCGAAACCACTCCAGGTATTTTGCACATCAGGATTTTAATACAGGGAATGGATCACAAACTAACCAGAAAAACTGAAAGAGCAAGAAGAATATAGAAGAAAACTAGAAAAGCACAGGGCCTAAGTGTGGTCTCATGGCCCACACTCACTGCTGAGCTCCCTGGAGGCATGGCCTTTTCTGCCGCTGCTGCTATAGGAATCACACTACTGCCACAATACAAGTAGCCAAGAACCTAAAATTAGTGCTGTTGCTGCTGAAGCCCATGGCCATCTGCGATCTCTCCTAATCATCCACACCTGCTACCACTGGAAACTAGTAGAGGGGAAGGGGAATTTTCCCTTCTCCTCACCTTCTAGTTACCTGCAGTGCATCACATTAGCAAACACTTAATAGCAAGCTAGATAGTAAAGGAACTGTGAACATAGAGTTTGCAGAATTCCAATCCTAGCAATACAAAGGACAGTATAAAATGGTGAGTATGGATCTAAGCCTGCTAATGCCTAGGTAGGTACCTGTCAATCTGTGCAATCATACAGTTCAAATGAAGATAAAATAATAAGACTCACTTAACAAGGAAGTCAAGACTGTTTTAGACCAAAGTTGTGTTACAATTAAGTCTTTAGATTGTTTATTTATGCCAGAAGTAGAACTGACAGATAAAATACAGAACACCAATTAAATTTGAAAATTATATGAAACTTCCTTATATTTCAAAATAGTTTTTCTTTCTCTGAAATTAAAATTTAACTCTGTATCTATCTTTTCATCTGCTAAATTTGACAACCCTTGGCCACGAATACCATATTCTTTTCTTTTTTCTACTTTCTGATATTTAACATCACATCATGAGTTGGTGTACAGAACATATAGCAAGACTTATTACTAGTTCTGTATTACTAGACTAAATTCCTTTATTTGACTACAAAACCTTGGATCTCTGGATCCTTGGATATCTGAATCACTCCAAAGGGGGGGACAATCATGATTCACATTTAATAGCATTTTACATTTTATAAATAATTTCTATACATTCTCATTTAATATTCATTGCAATCTTATGAGATAAGCCTAATTATAGATATATTCCAAAATTTTTTTAAATGCCTGTCAGAATATTTAAGTAATTTGTCCAAGGTCACATGATTAGCATACATGCTAACACTTGAATGTTCTTTCCCTTATCTCCAGGAAATTTCTGCAGCCCAAAGACTTAAAAAAACACTAAAGCTAAAATTTGATTTCTATAAACATGAAGGATAAGCCCAGCAGAAAAAGAAATCTAAGAGGCCAAACTGAACATTAAAGGAAAGAGAAGGAATTCTGCCTGTTTTGCCTTAGAAAACAATAGTGGTAGGGTTTATTGCCTGATCACTTAGATGCCTTCAAGCCTAGGTCTTTTTCAGAGCCAATAGGCATTGCACTACATGTTGAGAATGCAAAGATAGATAAGACATTGTCTGTGAAGTTGTGACCATACGGCCTAAGGACAAAGATAATGCTTATTGTTGGAAAGTTGAATTATTCAACCCTTCCATGTCATGTTGCTAGAGACATAAAGTAACATTGTTGATTAGTGTTGGTTGCATTGATGCTCTCTAAGGGATTCTGTCTCCATAATTACATTCATCAATTCAGTATTCTTGTGTGTATAGAGCTAAAGACATTGTTTATGATGAAATATGTTATAATAATGTATACATATGTAAGTAAGCTCCTTTTCATTACTCAAGTATTTCAGAAACAGGATTAATACCCACTTTACAGACCAACTGTGTAATGATGGACTTTTTGTGTATGTAATTATTACAATTTGGATGGTGAAATTTCATCCATGGTATGTCAGAACAGTTTTATGATGAGTCGCTACTGTACTTAGGATATTGCTACTAGGAATTAGAGTCCTCACAGGGACCTCCCAGAGATCATCTCTTCTATTCTACTGTCCTTAGGCAAAGCTAATTCTAATAAGTCAAGACTAAGTTTCTCTTCCCTGTTTTTAATAATTACCACACATAGTGATTTAGTCTACGTCCTCCAAAGTAATTCTCATATCAATATAGATCATTTTGGAAACCCAGATTTCTTTTAAAAATATAAAAATGCGACCACCTTCAGTTATTTAAAAGATGGGATATTTGTAGGCTTGAACCGCCATTTCAAACTCACGCTTAACCAAAACCTGTTCTAACACAAATGAACAAATGATCATGGCCAAATGTTTTTGGAAAAGTTGCCCTATTGTAATTCAATAAGAGTTAGTCATTTCAGGTTAGTTTTCTTTGGATGGTCCATTTGTGACTAAACAAACTACTTCTTCCCATTGCTAAACTTCCTTTGTGTTATATAATTATCTTGTGTTCACACAAGTTTATCTGACAAAAAATTATTGATTTAAAATTTTATAAGGTACTTATGTGTCAGTCACATTTTCTTGAGGTAAATCAGCATTTTTTTTTGCTCATTTCCTAGGTAGATTGCAGCTGGTCTGAGGGTAAACACAGAGGAGTTTCTTTCTCTTCCCAGGCTCTATAATGAGAATATTCTGTCTGATCAGGTGCATGCACTCTGCTGTCATTTGCAGCCTGACCTGCAGGTCAGGGGTGATGTGAGCTGGCTCAGGGATGCATACAAATCACATCCTCTTGTCTGTCTGTTTTGTTGACTGGTTCTCCTCAGGGTCGTGGCTATCTTAAGTAGCAGCCTGAAGGATAAAGTGTGCCCTGTCTGCGCTGTAAAACTTTGACTATGGACCAATCGTATCTGACATACAGCAGCATGAGGTTTGGTTTAGCCTTTGGATTCAGAACAAATCACTGGCTATCAATGGCTGATAGTGACATGCAGTTTACTGAAGCTCTCCTTTCTGACAGCTCTACGTGGGGAAGAAATGGATCATTTTTAAGTTAGGATGTTTGTGTTTCAAATTATGCTCTGTATGAATCATTTTTAACATGAAAATGAAACTATTAAATTACAAAATTTTAAAAAGTGAAGTATTTTGCTTCAATGTTCTGGTTTCAACATGCAACATCCAGGCTAAAAAAGATCCCACATCTGGAAACATATGAGGCTGTTAAATGTTCTCAGTGAGATTTTGCTATATCGATGTGTATAAATTTATAACTTTTGCTGCTTTCACTAAATTGTATCTTTAATCACAGAATTTAACTAATAGACAAGTTTAATGTCCTTTCAGTGTCATTCCACCTAGCATCAAAACTTGTTAATAGCAGATGAAATTAGAGTTCATCTATAGTCTGCTTTAATATTTATGGAAGATTTCTGTAATTTGACTTTAAAACATTTGAACCTGTTACTCCTCATATAAAAAGATATCCAATCAGTTGCTATGAGAAACACAGAAAAATAAATAAATGACATAATCAAGGCCCTCAAAAAGGTTACAATCTAGCAAGGGAGAAAAAGCATAAACATAAAGCAAAGCATACTAACATAAATACTATGAAAAATATAAAAATTTGTGAGAGCTTAGAAGGGAGAATATTTACACCTAGCTGGCCTTTGAGTAAATGGCAAGATTCCAAAAATGGAAATGAGGATGAGCAAGGAAAGGCATTCCAGAGAGAACAAGGTAAACAAACACTCAGGACTAGATGAGGAGGTCAAGTATTAGGTGGGGTACAGACACTGTCCTCCAGAAAAGATCGTGTGGCCATAATATGTAGGGTAAGTTATTGGCAGGAGAAATTGGAGCTTAAGAGACTTATTGCAAATAAGCCAAATATAAGGTAATAAGTATTTGACTAGGGTAACTGAAGCCACAGTAAAGAAGAAAGAATGATTTCCAAGAAGCGTTTGAGAAATAAAGTGTTCCTTGTTTGAAAAGGGGAGTAAACATTTCCCGGAGTAAACCTCCTCACATATGTACACACATTGGGTCCTTTGGTGTCTTTCCAGGATGACAGCAACTCACTGAGCAAAGATTTATTATAAGACTTAGGGCACTGTTAGCTTTTCCATCATACCTTCCAGTCTGAGGTCCTTCAGGAGGCCTACTCAGCTTCATTTGTCTTTCTCTCCAGTATAATATATGCTTACATGATTATTGATTAAGTAAATTAGTGAATACGAATACATCATTTCAATACTTTCTTTATAGATCATTAGAGAATTATGATGTCTTTGATAATAATTTAAAAAAAAAAAAGAGGAAGGGGAGCAGGCTTTTCAAGGGCAGTGAGTTTAGTTATAGACCTCTTCACTCAGCTCAGAGCCCCACAAGCAGAGTCATTATGAGACCTCAAGGCAGCTTTCTGAGTCAGCTTTTTGTATTATTTACAAAATCAATATTGTAATCATGATATTCTAGTAACCCATTACTCTGAGATGTTTAGCTCAGTCTCCATATTCACAGGCATTATAACTTCTCTATTGATATTTACAGTGAAATTAAATGACAATATCAATTATATGTGAAGGGTGAATTTGGATTAAAATATGCATCTCAGCTTCTAAAATTATGTGTTTCAAAAGCAAAAGCAAATAGAAAAACATTCAGCTTCAAAGGTTCTAGATTGAGCTCCCATGAATGTGGACTGGATTACAAGTTGGTTCCCAACCTTCCATGTCATCTAATTTTCTGATGTTTATATTTTCAGCAAACTATTCCCAAACTCATTTGTATATACATGCTACATAGCAGGATAGATTTTTATAAGAATATGAAGAATCCTTATAAGAGGAAATACTTGATAGTTTGTATTCATGACAGGATCATTAAGTCCTGTTGTTAAGTCCAATTTGTATCTTTAGAGTTTTATCAGCTTTGGTATCTGAGTTCTATTAAATAAACTTGCAAAGTTGTGTGAGTAATGCTAAAGGCATGCTCTATTTCTTATAGTCTATGAAGTACTACAGCCGTGTTCAGTCCAGAGCCATTTGTCAATTCTGGGAAAGGAGAGAGAATAAAAGAGAGAGAAATAACCTTCTTGTGAGATCACCATGGGCCTTTGTCAGCATCCAGTCCCTTAGTCTCTAGATTCTTGTAACGATTTCCTTCTTTTGCCCCTTCAGGCTTAGGGGTTATAGCAATGCCTAAATCTCTAGCCCTAGGGCATAGCACTATCCTTTGTGTTTTCCTTGCCCTCCTCTTGATAAACTGCCTCTTCATTAAACTCTCCTTGAAATTTTTCTTTTTGTTTTCTGGGTTTGTTTTGGGTTTGTTTTTGTTGTTGTTGTTGTTGTTGTTTTTGTTTTTAGATGGAGTCTTATTCTGTTGCCCAGGCTGGAGTGCAGTGACATGATCTCAGCTCACTGCAACCTTCACCTCTCAGGTTCAAGCAATTCTTCTTGCCTCAGTCTCCTAAGTAGCTGGTACTACAGGTGCATTCCATAGCACCCAGCTAATTTTTGTATTTTTAGTAGAAACGGGGTTTTCACCATGTTGTCCAGGCTAGTCTCGAATTCGTGACCTCAGGTGATCTGCCCTCCTTGGCCTTCCAAAGTGCTGGGATTATAAGCGAGAACCACCATGCCTGGCCTTCTCCTTGAAATTTTTCAATTTGATCATCCTATCTCATTCCTACCGGAATACTAATCGATATAATAGTCATAAGAGATTAATGTACTGGTTTCAAAAGCTTCTACAATTTTATTCATATTTAAATTCTACTCATATTAAAAGTATTTCTGCCTTTAACTCATGAATAAAATTGTTAACAAAATCACCTATTTCAGTTCATCTGGGATAGAAAAGGAAATTATCAGAAGAATCCCAGAAGAATCTGTGCCAACTGGAGTCCCATAGTAAAGCTATTAATCAATTAATTGTTTGGAAAGAAAAAGTATAAATATTGGAAATATAACAAAGGTGATAATAGGCAATTCAGTTGTAAAATATGGTCTTCTTAAGTACAATTGAATACCATACAGAATATGATTATTTTTCCTTGTATTTATGGATATCTTTCCATTTTTGGATCCTGCAGACTTCAGTATTCAATCTTCTCCTCTGTTTCACTCATTCCTTTTTATATCTCAACCATTCTCATGACCTTAAATATTATCTGAACACTTCTTCTGGACAGCAAGGAGTGGAGAGCAGAAGACCAGCATTTTCACCAAGAACAACTGTGAAAACATTCACAGTTAAATAAAGTTCATAAATAAAGCTCAAAAATAATCTGTTTAAGTCAACAGAGTGCTGCTGAGGCAGTAATAACTGGAACTGCTTAACTTTGGAAGAGATATGAACTTCCTAGAAGTGAGCTGACTTCCTTAGCCATTGTACTTGGCCCATTTGTCTATTCTGGGCAAATAAAAGGCTTAGAATTCAGCCTGTCTACCTACAGGGGAGCCATTTCCAGGGACAAGGAAAACCAGCAGAGATTTGTAAGAGACTTGTGGTAACCTTATACACAGCTGGTTATTCTTTCAAGATATTTTCCAAGTCCTGGTGTTGAATGGGGCAAGGGACCCAAAACTTAAGCAGAAAGCCCCCCAAAGCAGAGCAAAGCTTGCAACAGCCTCACAAGACAAAGACTGGAATTCAGGACCTATCAGGGAAAGGATTAGGGGTGAATTAGAGTTAGACTGAGCCTTACCAGTGCTACAATCCAGCCTTATCAGCCATCATTCTATTGGCCTAGATAAAGGTAGGTTCAATCCTCTCTGGAGAAATATAATATCATCTACAGCCTCTGCAATGTTGACATTGTTGATGTTGTTATTCAATTCATATTTAGCGTTCAACCAAAAATTACTAAAAATACCAAAAGAAAATACCACATTACTTTTATAAAGAGATAAATTTAAAAAAAGACAATGGAAAGAAATTCACAGAGGCTCGAGATACTGGAGTTAGGTGAAAAATTATTTTAAAATAACGAAATATCATCTATACTGATTACTATTCAACTTTTACCACCAGTCTATACTTCTCCCCTGGACTCCATACTTGTAGATAACTATCTACCCCATGTCTTCATTTAGATGACTAATACACATTTCAAACCCAAAAGTACAAAATAAAATTCCTGATCCTACCACTCGCAACTCATTTCCTTTATAGACATTCACATTTCAGTAAATAGCAAGTGCATCTTTTCAGTTGTCCAGGCCAAAAAAATTTGAAGTTATTCTTACCTCTCTTCTTTCCCTCATACCAATATCCAGCATATCAGTGAATTCTATATGCTCTCTTACAAATTATACCTCCAATCCTAACATGTTTTACTACCTTACTCCTATTTCCTTGGTTGAGTCTTGCCTATATAATAGTGTCCTTCTCATCTCTTGTATCTCTCTTTGCCCTCTGTGGACTATTCTTGACACAGAAGATGTAACAACACACTTGTTATAGTTGTCAGATTATATAACTCCTCTGCTCAAAAATTTCCAGTGATTTTCTATATAAATTAAAAGGAGTTCCATTATGCTACAGTAACAGAGCCAAAATCTCAGTGTCTTCAAACAACAGATTTATTTCTTATTCACATTATCTGTCCATTATAGGGCAGATGAGCTCTCCATTTCATATCATTTTACCTCAAACAGCCCAGGAGCTAGGCCACTGTAAGAGCTACCAACTGTAACGTTGTCAACTGCAGCTCAGAGGAAAAGAAAACAGTGAGGAGCACATGGGCTCTTCAGAATAACAGTCACTGCCACTTATATACCATTGGCCAAAGCCAGTCATGTGGCCACCCAAATCTTATCTGATTGACAAGCCTCCACATTATCCCATCTTTGTGTCACCTTACCTTTCTCATCTTCTCCTTTCTCACAGTGCTTCAGGCATACTAGTCTCTTAGATGCTCTTCAAACAGTTCATGGAAGCTCCAGCTTAGAACTTGCTGTTCCCTCTAACTTAGAACAGTCTTCTCCTAGTTATCCCTCCCCTGACTATTTTAGACCTTTGTTCAAAATTCACCATCTCACAAGACTTCCCTTACCATCCTGTTTTAAATTTCAGTGCTTAATATGTGCCTCTGTTACTCTCTATCCCTCTTCTCATCTTCATTTTTCTCTGTAGGACTTATCTTCATGAAATTCTATATTTTTAATTCTTTATTATCTGTTTCTCTTCACTAGACTATAAGCTTCACAAAGGCAGGGATTTTTTTCCAACTAAGTTAGCTCCAACACCTACAGGAATTGCCAATACAAAATGGGTGCTAAATAAATATCTATTGCATAAATATAATGTCCCATCTTATTTTTATAGGACTTTAAAATGTACAAACCATTCTGATATGCATCTTCTCATTCAAAATTTACAACCACCTAGAGAAGGACTAGCATGTGAATATACTGACCCACCTTAATAAGATGGCAAACATGTAACTTGAGCAAGTATATTCTGAAGTGCCCCCTGATAATCACCAAGTTTAATACAATGAGAAGTGGATGAGAGGAGCAGCTCAAATCATCTACTGAAATGTAAACACTTTACTGCCTGCACATCTCTAATAAGAATGGATGTGGTGTGTCATCTGTAATTTAATCACCAGCATTACATCTTGATAGTAAACAAGGATCACTAGACTATTCCCTATAAAGTTAGATTACCACATATACAAAATACACACTGAATTTGGGTAGTATTTCAGGTGTGACACAGATGATAAATGGAAGAAATTCAAACTAAACATTGCACTCTTATAGCTGAGCCTATCATGCTTCTAAATTTTAGTGCTTGCTGCACTATATCACCTGTCCAGCCCAACCTCACCCCAACTGTCTGAATGCAGAGGAATAAATTAATTCCTGAGTTATATTTATGGATTTAAAATTATTTGTATTGCTGGGTATGTTGTTTTCATTGAGGAAACATTGTATTGCAGAATTTTTTCAGGATTTATGATGTAATGGCAGTTGAAACAATTTATCTAAACAACACTACTATCAAGAGATCCAACACATATATGCACATATATGGGATGCTTTGGGGTTTAAAAAAATATTTTTAAAGAGGTTAGTTTTTTACGAAGTTGACAAATTTTGCATGTATGTTGTATGTAGAGCCTTTTATTGCCAATTATTTCATAGACTATTGGTATACAACAGAGTAAAAGAATCCATATGAAAGCATAAGCTAAGAAAAAAAATGAGCATCTCTCTCTACCTCTCACAGATACACACGCCCCAGATATTTACCATGTTACCATATTTACCAAATTATTAAATCATCAGAAGATGATTTAATAATTTATTTTATTGTTTTACTATTACACAAAGCTTATTTTTTAGCTACATAAAACAAGACAGCAAAATATATGACATTAAACAGTGTAAAAGGGGTTAGTGGTTTACAGTCCATACAGGCCACAACTTTATATGCAAATGAATAAATAAAAAATTAAGCAAAATGTTCCTTCTTGAATCAAGTGGAAAAATAAGTGATTATAAGAAGTTACTGCACAGTGAAAGCTTCCTCTTGCGGTTCTTAAATCTAGGATTTTGCTGCTCCAGTGTTACGCAAGCGTAAGGACCATGGACAGCGTCTTGGGTTTACATATGAATATATGTTTCCATGATAGGAAATAACTGTGGATTCCTAAAAATGCATTATAGAAAATGCCATTTGATGTTTCTTCCATTTCTAATAAATTAAAAATCAGTTATTATTAAAATGCTTCACGAATTCACAGAGGACCTTGAAGACTAACATATTAGTTTCTTTTTTGAAGGGATGTCAAACCACATTTTACATGTTCCCATTTACAGTAATGATCAAATAACCACTTTTATAAGAAGATTATTTAATTTTCAACAAAAGAAAAGTCTGGATCACCAGTTGTTTGTTAGCTTGGTTTGTGGGAGAGGAGGGGTGAAGATAACATGGTCACACATTATTTCCTCTGCTTCTTTCACTACCCCTTCATTGTATTAACACATATTCTTAGACATAAAATGATCTCAGGCCACTTCGTCTCAAATTGTGTGTCTATTACACTTTTTCTTACATTGATCTTATGATGTAGTCTTCTGATCTTGATTCAAATAAGAAAAATGAACTTATTCTGAACTTACAGAATCAGGCATTCTAATCACAAGTCTTGTGCAGGAAAGCTGATGTTTGATAATCTTCACCACAGAGCTGGTGGTGTTTGCTTGAGAGCATGTTAGCATTAATGTATTTGTCCTCACATTTAATTCAAAGCATCTTACATAGACACCATTAATGGTATTTTGCTAGCACTTTCAAATGACTTCTAATGTAATTTAAATCAATTCAATTTAACAGCCATTTATTGTGCAAAGATCTGCACTTTGTGTGTTTTAGGTGATACAAAAGCAAAGTCCCTATCCTAAAGGATATTGTGGTCTATAGAGGAAAATGAATGTGGACATCACTCACATGACACAATGAAGATTAAAAAGAGTGCTATAATAGAGGCTCAGCACAGTTCCAGGTGAGCACAAAGGAGATGGATGGATTTTTATGGGTATAAAATAAAACAGTAAATGTTTCAAGGAACTGATTAAAGACTTGAAGCAAAAATAGACTTTCAAGAGCCACAGACATTGTGGTGGATAAATTAGTTACAAGGAAGGTTTCAAGTTTAAGATACAGAATGAAAGTTTTAACACAGTAATGTACATAATGTGGAGGAAATAAAGTCGTCTTGTGTAGGGCACATTGGGTGGAAACATGACTATCCTGGAAGATACACCTGGAGAGGTAAACTGGGACAAAGGAAAGCTTCAAACACTCGACTAGGGTATGAATCCTAGTCCTTAGGCAATGCTGTTACTGGTGGTTTTTGAAGGACATTTTGATAACAAAAAAGAAATAATCGCATCATTGCATGATGGATGTACTGGGGAGGCAGGAAAGAATTTTGATTTAGAAGCTGAAGGAGATATTTTGAAAGATGCTTGTGATTTTGATTCTAGGATATTGGGATGGCAGTACTGCAATTTTTAGATGTAAGGAATGTTGGAAGAGGAGCACATATAGACAGAAAGACGATGACTTCAATTTCAAACTGTGTGAGTTTGACCTTGCAGCCTAACGTCTATGCAAAAATAACTATTGGGCATTACAAAATGATCATCACTTTGGAAAAAACAACTGCTCAAACTATTTTTAGGTGGATTTAGTTTATTTCTTTAGAAAAAAAAGAATTTTTTTTTTTACCATTTTGGGAATTTACCAATAACATCTACCAATTAAAAAATAATTATTTGAAGTTGATATTTAGGGAGAGGCCCTTTTTTTAATTAAATAAAACCTACTTCTTTCTTGTTATAAAAATATTTCTATCATTAAAGTATTGTGCCAAATAGTTTCACTGCCCTAAAAATCTCCTGTACTTCATCTGTTCATTTCTATCCCCTTTGCCCCCAACCAGCCCCAACTTTTTACTGTGCTATAGAATGCCATCTAGTTGAAAGTACATAGCCTTTTCAAAGTGGCTTTTTTCACTTCGTAATATGGATTTAAGTTTCCTCCATGTCTGTTTATAGCTTGATAGCTCATTTCTTTTGTCACTGAATAACATCCCATTGTTTGGATGTGCCACAGTTTGCTTATCCATTTATCAGCGGGACATCTTAGTTAATTCCAATTTTTGGCAATTATGAATAAAGCTGCTATGAACATTTATGTACAGGTATTTGTGTAAATATGAGTTTTCAACACATTGGATAAATACTTAGAAGAGTAATTGCTGGATCCTATGTTAAGACTTCTCAGCTTTGTAAGAAACTGCCCAACAGTCTTCCAAAGTGGCTGTACTGTTTTTCATTTCCACCAGCAATGAATAAGAGCTCCTCTTATTCCACATCTCTGCAAGCTCTAGCTTGGTATTTTAGCCATTCTAATGTGTGTGCAGTTCTATTTCATTGTTGTTTCAACATGCAATACTCTAATGATATTTGATGTGAAACGTATTTTCATATGCTTATTTGCTGTCTGTATGTCATTTTTGGTGACATGTCTGTTAGGGTCTTTGGCCCAGTTTTTCACTGGGTTTTTTTCCTATTGTTGAGTTTTAATAGTTCTTTGTATGGTTTTGATATAAGTCCTTTATCAGATATGTCTCTTGGAAATATTTTCTTTCAATCTATGGCTTTCGTTTTCATTCTGTTAGTACTGTCTTTTACAGCACACATGTTTTTAATTTCAAGAAAGTCCAACTTATGAATTTTTTTTCATGAATTGTCTTTTTGGTGTTATATCTAAAAACTCACTGCAAGGATGTCATCTAGATTTTCTCCTGCAATCTCATTTTCAATGGTTCTACAATAGTCTATAACTAATATAAATGCTCTGTTTTTGGTCACTTAAATTGTTTCCAATTTTCCACTATTATAAACAATACTGCAATGAATATTCTTTGAGCTATGTATTTGAGCATGTGCATAATTTCTTTAGAAGTAGAATTGCTAAGTGTGGTGGAATTGAGGGTTGACTCATCAATATCTAGTCCAATCTTCTTTTTCAATGCCTTCTTGGACAGCAAAAGCTGAGAAGCTACAACTTACATCACCAGAACCCAACTCAGCTAGAATTCCAGATGTCATTTATATCCTAGGTAGGGAGAAGGTGAGTAATAAGGGAGAATTTGTTAATGAATACAAAATTAAAGCTAGATAAGAGGAATACATTTTAGGGTTCTACAGTGCTGTAGGATGACTATAGTTATAGTCATAGTTACAATAACTATATTACATAGTTTCAGATAGCTAGAAGGAAAATACTGAATCTTCCCAACACAAAGAAATGATAAATGTTTGAGATGATGCATATGTTAATTACCCTGATCTGATCACTGCACATTATATGTATCACAACATTATTTGGTACTCCACAAATACATATATAATTATTACACGTCAAAAGATTTTTTAAAAATCTGCTATGAAATGTACTCCTGTGGATCTTGAAGTCAGAACTGGAGAGACAAAAATGGGCTTGAAGCATCTATTTAGTATCAGTTGTAGCAGAAGTAGCAAGGTTCTGGAGCTAGCACCAAGAGAAGTACTTCCCAGTTTAACAGACCATGTCAGTGGCTTGCCCTGGGTGACCAGTTGTGCAGGTATCTTTACAAGTCATTCCCAGAAGTTCAGCCTTGATCTCTTTGCTGTCTTAGTAAATCCATATGTTGCTTAATAACAGGGTATCTGTACTCTCTATGCTATATTCTGTACTCTGTATATGGGGTCATAATATATTCATATTTTGTATATTTTTGTACACATTGCCAAACTGCCCTCCAGTAGAACAGTCTGTTATATCAATTCTTTTTCAGCCACCTAAGTACAGCCATGCCCACATCCTCAAGCACATGCCAGTATTAGCATTATAATCTTAAACAGTTTTTTTAAATTTATAAGTTGGAAATTATACGCTTACTTTATTCTCTCATTTTTTAAATTTACCAGTGACATTAAACCTGTTCTATACATTTTTCAAATTCCTTTCTTTGTCCTTTGTCCATTTTTCTGTTGGAAAGGCAAGTAGGTTTTTTAAACCAAAGTTATAGAGGCACAACATGAGTAATAACTAAATTATTCCCAAGTAGTTCTCTATCCCTGTATTTCCATTCCACCTTGTTTTAGAAGGAAAAACTGAATGAAATTAGAAAGCTTCCTTTTAATTTTTAAAAAAGTCAAAATAACAAAGTGAAAATGAAGCAAGTGTCTGTATAATTAGAAGGTACATAAATGTGAAAAAAATTAACATAGGTATTCAAAATAAGATAAATTTCATCACAAGTAAGTATCTTTAATATTTTTGATTAGGCATATGCTCACTAGTGGCATAAGAGCTCATAATTTTTAACTGCCTTCTTTCATGTTTTTCAGGGTGGTAAAGTGAAAAGGGGTCCCAGATTTTAAAGATGACTTGACTTAATTTGAATCCCAGCTCAGTCCCTTATCAACTGTACAGTTGTAGCAAGATGCTTAATGTCTCCAAATTTCTGTTTCCTCATCTATAAAGTGGAGGTCGCATGATAGTTTTTGGCTGAAGAGACATAGCAGGAATAAAGTTCCTAGTACATAATAGGTACTCAATTAATTAATATTAATTGTGCCCCCTTGTTTTTTTCCTTCTTGATTGTAACTTATTTCTATTTCAAATAATCATTAATATCTCAATAGCATGCCTTTTAAAATAATTTAAATTCATTTTTCTCTTTTTTTCAATATCCTTCACCAAAAAGAAATACTTGCCTGTCATTTGTTTAGGCAATAATTCGCACATCATTCTGTGAGATCATTGTATTGACATTTATGACATCTTTACATTATTCATATCACATTGTTTTGGAGGTATTGATTTAAGAGCTTAAAGCCCTCACATGATGACAAAGAGAATGACCCTTCAACTCTAAACGCCGGTAATCAGTATGCCTTAATTAGAGTTCCCATAGAGCCCAGATATTCTGCATTCTTTGCAATATTGAGACAATAACTGCTTTTTTTTGCCACATGTATCTCAGGTAACAAGCCTTTACAAAATTAACTGGATCCTGGGCCAGTGAGGACTATTTTGTTAAAGCAAATATTATTCGGAGTAAAAGCCACATAGTCTTAATTTTTTCTTAGCTCTGCAGCCCACACTTCAAACCACACAGTTACAGAACAAACATAGTTTTGCAATTTCAGCAACAAATTGTGTTTCTCCAGCTACAGCTCTGGCCCTACCTTCTATAGTGAAATTTCCAGCTACTTTTGTTTAGTTTCCCAAATACTTTGAGGAGCCCACAGAGCGCATCTTACATGCATCCAGGAGTATATAAAATAATAATTTACCATAGTCAGAATGTATTTATCCCAGGGAATTTTAGGGTAAGTTAGCATTAAAAAATTGGCAAATGTCATTCTCCAGTATAATAGATTAAAAAAAACTATAAAATCACCTCAATAAATACAGAGAAAACATTTGATAAGTTTCAACACTTCTTTATTTTTAATTTTACTTTAAGTTCTGGGATACATGTGCAGAACCTGCAGGTTTGTTACACAGGTATACATGTGCCATGATGGTTTGCTGCACCCATCAACCCGTCATCTAGGTTTTAAGCCCTGCATGCATTAAGTATTTGTCCTAATGCTCTCCCTCCCCTTTCCTCCCACCCCTCCAACAGGCCGCAGTGTGTGATGCTCCCCTCCCTGTGTCCATGTGCTCTCATTGTTCAACACTTCTTAACATTAAAAAACATTTACTATTATAGGAAAAGAATTACCTGAAAGTGGATATTTATCTTTTTAAAAAAGCCTTTGCAAACATTGAATATTGAAAAGTCTCTCCTAAAAGTCAGAAAACAAGACAAAACTGTCCTAGATCACCATTTTAAATCAACGTTGTTTTGGAGGTTTTAGCCAACAGTGCATACAAGAAAATCATTTAAAGGTATAAGAAATGGAAAGAAAGAATTGAAACTATTAATATGCTATATTATATGGTTATCTATGTGGAAAATTAGAAATTATCTATTACCTGTCTATTAGAAATAAAGAATTTAGCAAGGAAGCTATTAATCAAGAAAATATTAATCATAAAAAAAGATACCAACTTTCACCTGGCAAAGACCTGTAAAATGGTAATGCCCTGTGATAGCTGGAGTGTAAGAAAAAGGATAAACTCATGAACAGATGCTGAGAAAGCTATTACTGCAACATTTTTTGTGGGTAACTTGACAATATATATAAAAAGATTTAAACTAAATAAATTTTACCTAAGAATTCCATTTCTAGAAATTTAAATTAGGGACCCAATTAAAGATATGCACAAGTAAGTTTGTTCAGGAATAAGATTATGGTAGCATAATAAGAAAATTATAACCAACAAGAACGATCAAAACTATAATTATGTGGCCGACGGTATTGGGTGCTTAATACTAATAGAACCCTAATTTAATTCATGTGTAGGGCAGCCATGGGCTTCAGTGAGGATGTGTCCTCTCTGGCCCAGGATTTGTGAAGCCTGTCAGAATAATGACACTTCCATAGCATGCTTTGGAATAAGCATGCAGCATATTTGTATCCAATGAAATATGAAGGCAAGTTGGCCTCGGGCAGTTTCCCTTACTTTTATAAAGGGCATTAGTTGGAGACCTTCTGTTTTCTTCTTGTCAGCATTGAGGTGTCCATATGCAATGCCTGTAACTGGGCCAGTGTCTTGGAACCATGAGAGCATCTAGCCTAGGACAACAAATCCATATGCTAAGAATAGAACAGTAGAGAGATGGGAAGAACATGAGCCCTTGATGCTATTGTTGAGTTGCTAGATTAATCCACTCTGAAACAAGCCTTAGCTGAAGACTTCTTGGTATGTGAGATAAAAAAAATCATTACTGTTAAGACCACTTTTAATTGGCTTTTCTGTTACCTAGTGTGAAAAGAAAATGAACTGAAGCAAATGGTTAGATAATTTATAGTGTAACCATAAAAAATATGCTTCTATTAAAACCCATGTTTCAAAAGTTATTTAATAATAAATCTTTATTAGAGAGTAGAACTGTCGGTATTAGAGGCTGAGAAGGGTAGAGGGGAGGGGAGGATGGAGAGAGGTTGGTTAGTGGATATAAAATTACAGCTAGATAAGAGAAATGAGTTTTGGTATTCTGCAGCACTTTAGGATGAATATGGTTAACTGTAATTTATTGTGTAGTTTCAAAAAGCTAGAAGCAAGGATATTGAATGTTCACAACACAAAGAAATGATAAATGTTTGAGGTGATGAATATGTTAATTATCCTGATTTGATTATTACACATTGTATATATGTATTGAACAGCACTTTGTAATTCATAAATATGTAAAATAAAAAATAGACCTTCCTGATGTAGTGTTAAAAATAATAAAAAGCTATTATTGAAGCATGTTAAGTAATCCTTACAACAATGCTTTAATATCATTATAATCACCATTTATAGATAAGGAAAATGAGATTAAGAGATGATAAGTGATTCATTTATGTTCAGATCACTAGTAAATGATAGAGCCAGGATTTTAACTCTAGCAGTGTGACTCTGACTCCCCACTCATAATCTCTGGGTTTCCCTGCCTCTCACTATTGTGTAGGTGCTTAAAAGTAGGTGGGGTGTGATCCTAATTATCTTTTGTTTTACGAATGTGTTACATACAGATACATACACACATGCATGGAGTAAAGGCCTGGAAGTAAACACACTGAAATTTGGAAAATGACTATTTCTGGATATTGGGATTGTGGGTGTTTTCCATTTGATTCTTTGAGCTTTTCTTTATTTTTCCAAATATAACAAGTGTCAGACTAAAGGTTACATTTAAAAATGTAGGTAGCAGATAAGAGGTTCATATTTAAATGAAAAAAACACTTTAAATAAAATTAATCTTTTATAACACTGAGTATGATAGACTTTTAAAATATTACATAAAACATATAATTAATTTCAAATAAAAATTGCCAGAAACTTATTTACAAACTGAAAATAATGATGTCATATCTAGAAATTATAAAGGTGGGAAAAACACATTATAAATTGCCATATACCAAATACACATTTTTCATTATAATTTTTGTAGGTTTATTTTATCTTGGTGAAGAATATTTGGAAAAACTTTGATGTGCATACTTTTAAGAAAGCAAAGAATCTGGGCAAGTCTTTGGGAATAATACTCACCACCTAAACCACGAGGATGCCTATATTTTCACAATAAAATATCTATTTAAGAACTTTTAACTTACAATAATGATTATAATAGCCAACATCAAATGGTGCTTACTATGTGCAAAGACTGTTCTAAAGCTTTCCATTTATTAACTCATTTACTACTATTAACTCTATTAGATAGGTACTATTATTACCCCTATTTTACAGATGATGAAACTGAGGCACAGAAGTAACTTCAGCAACATCACTTATTTAGTAAATGGCAAGTCCACGTTTTGAATCTAGGCAGTTTAGATCCAGAGTCCCTGCTTGTAACTACTGTATATTGTTTCCTTTTTTAATAAATTAATTCATTGAACTTTAATTCATTTCAAAATTCAAACGACTGGTTTTCATAATCATCTAGATTTATTAGCAACCTCTTTAGGCCTTTTGTTTCTAAGTAGCATGGTGCAAAGCAAAGGACTGAAAATAGAAGTGTGCTAGAAATCTGTAACTTCAGATTTATATGATGTGCTGACTATCAAGGGGTTAAGCTAGGTACTGAACATTCAATGTCCTTGTAATAGTATAGTGCTATCATGAAACAAATGCAGATTTTTACGTACAAGCCTTTTGTAAATTAAAGAGATCTATTTTTTAAAGTGGTCCTATGTTATTTATGTATATCATTGTTTTAGAAATCAATTTATTTCAGACACCAGCCAGAGCTGGAGCAGAGGAATGAATAGATATATATATATATATATATATATATATATATATATATATATATATGTGTATATATATATATATATATGTGTGTGTGTGTGTGTGTGTGTGTGTGTGTGTGTATAATGTTTTCCTGTGCCTGGGAATAAGCACACATTCAAATGTGCAAAGAACTGCAATTTGAATGTCACTTTCTGTATACTGGATTAGCCTCTCAGCTCTTTAACTGGAGCTGTAGATTTAGATGTCTTTGTTCAGTTTGCTTTTTGGTTCAGCACACACAGACCAGCCATGCCAGGCTGGTGGAAGATTCTTTCTCCACCCCTTTGAGAGCTACAGGACTGATTCCTTATGCTCCAAGCCAGAGGTAGTGTAATGTCCAGAGTTTTATTCACTGAGTCAGTCAACCATCCTTTCAGCCTTTGACTTCCCAGCTGCTGCTAATCTGTAGACCTCACAGAAGTCTCTAGACAAGGGAGATGTTGAACATGTGCTCCAGCATCAGCAAAAGGGCCAGCCGTGCATGCAGCCAGGCGAGGGCCCAGACCTCTAACTTATAAGGGGCGTGCTCCTTGGGTGCAAGCCAATCCAAAGGCAGAACTGACTATAAAAGTCAGAAATAACCACAGTTCCATTAAAAACTGCAAATAAAACATTTTTATAACTTTTCCCTAATGTTGCAAACAAGCAATTGTCCCACAGTACAAATAATTTCCAGTCCCTAATAAATGTAACCTGTTTTCTTTTTTTTTGCTCAAGGGGACAAGAAGTTTATGCACATACAACCACTTCAAAGAATTACCTCTATTCTTTCTTTGTTTTTTTTTTTAACCAGCTTCAGAGTGTTAAACTGTTCAATTTAAGCTACAAATACAGTGTATGTGATGATCTTATTGCACTATTTTCTCTAGATTTATTTACTGCCCAAAAGGTATGTAAAAATACATATGCATTCATTATCCTTTAGAAATACATAGAATAGCAGAAATAATTTTTGATTCTTTTTATTTTTCCTATCACTAATGAGACCTTTAAGCAATATATCCTAGAACATCACCCTTCAAAAAATATATTTAAGCCACTCTATTTGATATAAACGCTGAAGTCTGTCATTTGGGGGAAAAAAATCACCATTGCCAGAGTATCCTACTCTAGAACTTAGAATCTTTAGTCAGAAAAATAGTTCAATTACAGCATTTTGGGAGGCCAAGGTGGGAGGATCATTTGAGGCCACAAGTTCAAGATCAGCCTGGGCAACAAAGTGAGACCCTATCTCTACAAAAAATAAAATAAAATAAATCAGCTGGCTGCAGTGGTGTGTGCCTATAGTCCCAGCTACTCAGGAGGCTGAGGCAGGAGGAATACCTGAGCCCAGGAGATTGAGGCTGCAGTGAGCTATAACTGCACCACTGTCCTACAGTCTGGGCAACAGAATGAGATGCTGTTTCAAAAGAAAACAAAAAAAAAAAAAGGAAGGAAGAAAAGAAGGAAAGAAAATAGTTCAATTCAAATTCAACAAATGTCTAGTTGGTAGCAATGCTGAGAAGGAAAAAGTAGTTGGGATACAAAATAAGTTTATGTCAAAGCTCCTGCCTTCATTAACTCACAGTCTCATAGATAAAGCACAGATAACAGTGTGAGACAACAGGATGATAAAAGTCCAGCTTCAAATGAGAAGACTATTGTGACAATTTCTATAAGTAAATATTTTGATCTGTAGAATAAATGGAAAAAGGTAAATCTGCAGGCTGAATATATATTAGGAAAATCTACCTTCTGGCAATGTCTCTTGCAATTATAGATGTTCATGCTATGTGAGGGAGCAGTGTGGGAAATGAACCACCACTGTCTCACCAACAGAAAAGCCTTCAAAACAGGACTTCTAATAGAGCTTTCTATGATGATGCAAATGTTCTATATCTGCTCTGCACTGTCCCACAAGGGAAGCCACACACTATCTGTGGCAATGGAGAACTTGAAATGTGGCTATTATAACTGAAGAACTGGATTTTAAATTCTGTTTAATTTTTATTAATTTTAATTAAGATTGCCACATTTGGCTAGTGGCTACTGTATTGGGCAGTGCAGCTCCATAGGATGTGTTCAATATCTGAGCAAGATATTGCATTGCTGCTCCAGTGCCAGAAAGTTTCTGAGAAGGGCACAGTTCTAGAACTTCTCATTGGAAAATAATCTCAAACTTGCCCTGTCAATATAGAGGATATAATGTATCCTCCCGATCAATGTTCCTCTTTCTCTAAAGAAGAATGGTAAATGTTAATTTTCTACTTCTTAGGTGGAAAATGGTAAAGCAAATTAGTTAATTAGAAAATTTCCAAAAGGTACTAATGACTTCATAGGATTTTATTGATGAATATAAAACCTTTCTTTTTATGTAAAACACATTAAGAAAATAAGACTATGAAATGTGATTATAATCACTTATGCTTAGGAAAATATTTTCTTTGAAAACATAATTATACTAACGTTTCTGTGATAAAAATTAAGAAATTTTAAAATGAAAGGATATAATATAAAATTATGGATAACACTTAGCTAGAGCCTGGGCATTTAAGGCAAATCAATGGCAAAGATACTGCTTCCTATTTGAGGACTCTGAAGTAATCAGAGGAGTGTTTGCCAGGTCTTCAAGTTCAAAGAATTGTTCTAGGCATTGTAGGTAAAGTACAAGAACCTGGCTCTTGAAGTCTGGAAGAAAAACAAAATGATGCAAATCTCTAGCCTTGCTTTGAAGTGCTCTCTAAAAGCCTGTCCTAATGAGCCAAGCAAGGATAGCTGTGGCCTGCTTAGTTCCTGTATGCACAGAAGACAATGCTAATGAATTGGGCCATTTTTTCTTCTGTTGATTGTCTCAACACAAGGCCCCACTAACAGTCTATTGGGATTGGCACTTGAGCTGAAACCTGTTTTTCAACATCTATGCTTCTAAACATATCTTGGTCTTTCTGAAGTGTGTCATAAAAATGGTAAGAAGGTAATAGGGACTCATTATGTGTTAAATTGGGGGTAAAAACCTCCTTAGAGAATCTGGGCACACGGTATCAAAAAAACTTTGAAAGCAAAGTTTTATTGTTGTTTTCCACAAATTGTTTCTTAAGCAGGCACCTCATCTAAGCTCCAGAAACAGCAAAAACTGTGAGTTGAATCCAGGAATTTCCAACCAATGGGGGAAAAATAATCTATGACGTGAGATTTTAGAATCAGTCAAACAAAAATGTTCTTTCACTTAAATCTCTTGTGCCTGTAAGCTTGAAGAACTTCAGGATAATATTACTATAACAATTCTTTTTACAGTAGGAATTATAATTGAAATTTGCTGCATATGAGGATAACTAAAACTCAATCATTTCACTCTCCCATACATGCCTGAGGATACCTGGGGGTAAATAGATTTCTTGGAAGCAGTTACTGACTATGGCTGAATTCCATCCTACCAAGTAAACTCATTGGCTCTTTAATTACTCCGGTGATGTCCACATGCTGTCACCACTATCTCATGCTGAAATGATATTGATTTAATTTTTAACTTTGATGCACCAAGGAGAAAAATGTGGTGAGTGTATTTTATTAATTTTTTGGTCTGTACTTCTTAAGCACCAATTTTCTAAAGCACGAATGTATGTTCATCTTTTATAATCTGTCTCTGCTGTAAATTATTAACACCTGATATTTGCTTTAAATGGCTCTGTTTGTGTGTAAGCATGCGAGTAAGGTTCATGGGATCATTGTCCTCTACACAGCCTTCACAAATGAGAGGCACATCTCCAGAGGCTACAGCAGAAACCAAATGTTTAAGCAAAGAAAACTTTCATAGTAGAAGTACCCATGCACAAAACTATATTAGGAAACACAATTGAGGGAAGAGAAAGGTGTCCTCATTTGGTATGAAGTAATTTTTAAATTGCAGCAATTTAAGCATAACTAAGATGATTGATTTTTCTTACAATAAGGAATAATTTTACCTTAGGTCAAAAGCATTAAAAATAAAGTTCTGTTTTTCCTTTGCAATTCACCCCATAACTACTATTCCCCTGCTTGTCAGGTGCCCTTTGAAATTGTTTCTGATCATCTTTGCAGAAAACTCCATTTCCTTTTTGGTGGCCTATTTATTCATGATGTTGTAGTATGCTCGCAAAGCAAAATGGGGAATTGGTGGCAACTAATCACATCATTAAAGCCAAAAACCTCAGGTAATCCAGGTCAACAAGGGTACTGGATGTCAATTATTTAGGTGGTTATCTCAACTCATTACAATAAAGAGATCCTGTTCTTTAATTACCCTCAATTAATACTAGCACCAGATCTATTAGTTACAACTTTTTAATTTGCTTCTATATGTTCTATATCATTCTACCTATTCAGGTTTCAGTTTTTATAAAGCCAAATTCTTGGATACTCACCATTATGATTTCACATAATTAAACAATAAATAATTTTATGTCAGTAGATTGCATGCTTATTACCTGAGTCTTATGCATAATAAAGCAGTCTCCTAGAAAGAACTACCACTGGCACAGTATTCAGGGGTCAAGTTATTGTTGCACAACCATTAGTAAGTTAAATTCAAAACTAAGTTTCTTTCTCATTGTAGCATAAAACTTCCTTCACAATCTGGTCAAAGCTCTTGCCCTCAAAAACCTTAAACTCAATTACTCACTAGAAGCATCTTACTATTTTCTAAACAACCCATTATGTGGTTTCATACGTGCTGTCCCTTCAACTTGGAGTATTCCACCCCTTCTTCTCCACCTAGTCTAGTAAACTTGTCTTGATGCCCTGATATCAATACTCCTATGACTCTCCCTTCTTAGCACTTTGTCCATATCTCTTTTATCTGCCTCAACACACTATTGTTTAAGTAGTTAAGTCCTTCTCCTCCACTGCACTGTGCATACTTTAAAGGGTAGTAAGCTATGGAAAGCTTTGAGGGAACATTTGAAAAGGAAATCTAAGATGAAAAGATTACCTAAAAACTGTGGAACATATATTCTTGAGGTGTGGTGAGAAACTGGGTTATTTGGCACATTAAGGTTCTCAGATTTGCCTAATGCAGAGTGTAAGATAGTTGCTGAATCCCTCAGCTTTGCAGTGCAGATATTTCCCAAACTTCCTTGTCAGAGCTTAATTACAATGTTCCTGGTAACCTAGATTCTTCAGGCACAGGCACAGCAAACTGAAAAGTGATATTAAGGAATCCACACCTATTTAGAAGAGCATTATTTAGGCAAAGCAAGGAGGAAACATAAGTTGAACTTTAAAAAATGAAAACTTGACCCTGTATTAGTCTAATGTAGACCTACTACTCTGTGCCAGAGGTAACAAAAGTCTAGATCATGGAAAATAGGTTTTCCTTCCTCAGTTCTCGGTATAGCAGCCGGAATCTAAAGCACTTTTTCTCCGATCCTTCTCTGTCTAAGTTCTACTATAAGACTTTATACAAGCTATTGTTTTTCTACATTTTAATAGACCCTATTTTAAAAGATGGTAACAAGGGGAAAGTATAATCCACTGATTACAACATTTGTGATTTTGTTGCAGTATGTATTATATATACACATGACTCAGATGCCCATTTTTTATGGTGCCCATAAATGTGGAGTATATCAAAAGGGACTTCAAATATAGGTAAATTTTACTGTACAATAAATTAAAGAAATTAAAGAATATATAACATGAACGAATTCAAATTAAGTTACATATAATTTTATTTGTCTGCTAATTAGAAACAAGAAATGTATGTAATTATGCAGGATACCTCCAGAACTGAATTATGACTTACTTAACCAGCATTTCATTGATGTCCTTTAAAAAGCAAATTGCAAAAGTATAGGATTACGTGGATTATGTGGAAAGTTTGGGAGGTGTTGTAATTAATCTATTACTTCCTCTCTATATTTGTGGTCCAATACTTATTTATTACTTTCCCTCTTCTTCACACTTCCTCTCAGTAAGACAAGTTCTAAAATCCTAAGTGGTGTATGAGCTATTACATAATTGTTCTTTTATGGCCTGCAGAGACACTACCCTCCAGCACATTCCTTTGTGAAGTAATTTGGGTTACCTTGGATATGAAAAGCAGCTCAATCAAAGCACATTCCACAGTACAGCCAAGACCCAACAAAGAAATACAGAGTACTGGGATGGCCTCTGTAGTAGACTAAACTTCAAGGATCCTTTATGAAATGATGAAGTTCTCCAGTCAGCTAGATGGTTTTAGCAAAGATCAGTACAAAGTGTTTGGAAAAATAAAAGTTGAAAGTAATCTTTAGGATAAGTTACAGAGTTGGGTTATTTCTCATACAACAAAACTTAGTGTTTCATTGGTGTTTCAGCTGTCTTTCTAACCCCAACACTTAGTAGTTTAACACCCAAACACTTTGTTATTTCTCATTATTCTGTGGGTTGATTGAATGACTCTTCTGCTGATCTTGGCTGGGCTCATTTGTGCGGTTACAGCCAAGTAACAGCTAGTCTAAACTGGAAATTTTAAAGTGGCCTCACTCCCATGCCTGGCAGTCAGTCAGTGCTGGCTGTTGGCTGGGAAGATTGGAACTCCTTTTGCCATATGATCTTTCATTTCAGATTTCTATGCAGCAGGATGGTCTCTGGGTTCCATGGAAGTGAAGAAAAATCTTAAAAGTATCTTGAGGCTCTGGAATTCATACAACTGTCACTTCTGCTACATTCTATTGGTCAAAGCAAATCACACACCAGCCCACATTAAACAGAGAGGAGAGATAAATTCTACCTCTTCATAGTGGGAGCAGCAGCATCACATTACAAAAGGGCATGGACACAGGGTGAAATAACTCATTAAAGGACATTATTATAACAATCTACCACAACAGGAAATGTTATGAAGGGAATCTATCTTTATTCTGTTTGGTAAGAATTGCACCTACCCTGTCCCTACAGAGAAGAATGTTACGTGTTTTTCTTGTTGTTGTTCGTTTGTTTTTGTTTTTGTTTTTGAGACAGCGTCTCACTGGGTTGCCCAGGCTGGAGTGCAGTGGCATGATCTCAGCTCACCGCAACCTCTACCTCCCAGGTTCAAGCAATTCTCCTGCCTCAGCCTCCTAAGTAGCTGGAACTACAGGCGCATGCCACCATGCACAGCTAATTTTTTGTATTTTTAGTAGAAACAGGGTTTCACTATGTTGCCCAGGCTGATCTCGAACTCCTGGGCTCAAGCTATCCATTGGCCTTGGCCTCCCAACGTGCTGGGATTACAGGAGTGAGCCACCATGCCTGGCTGGAATGTTAGTTTTGATTTCAAAAAGAACTAGTATGAAATAAGACAGTAACCTTTCTATGCATGTTTTTGCCTAATGTTCTCTGAAATTCATATTTAAACCATGATACTTAGAATTGCTCCCAAAGGACTAGAACAGTTCCACCTTCAATGAGTAGAACATAAGATGGTGTGCAATGATCCCTTATCTTGTAGGTTATAGAAATCTGTCTCCTTGATAACAAGACTCAGATGACTTCAGTTAGATGATGATAAGAGACATGAGGGAGAGACATCTTACCATAAAGAATCAAATGAAAGTGGAGGAGGCAAACTTTCAAAATTCAGTTTTAATGATTTTCTCCATATGACATTTATATATAATGTTTAACTTTAAGAGGGTAGATTTTTGATAAATTGTGCTAGAAAGTCTAGTGAGAAATCTTCAAATGATGGATAAAAGTTGCAATTTTTGTTTCCACCTCTTTTGGTGTCAACAATGACATGTAACATGACAAGAACATAATCTTTAAAAGAATGAACTGACAAAATTTCTGCAATAAATATCTTCCAGAAATGACCAGGTTTTATCTATGTAAAAAGTAACTGATCAGAATTCCGTACAAACCATATACAGAACATGTTTTAAAGAAGATCACTTAAATAAGATAAAATCAAATCTAGTCTTCCAAATTACATGGCTTTACTAATATATAATATTCAAACAAACAATATTCCATTTATCATGCACTAATTATAAATCCTTTGAAAATGATTAATACATTAATGTATTTGATTAAAAGCATAAAATACAGTTTTATACAGACTTTTAAACTTTAAAAAAATGGAAAAGCTAATCCTAGTTAATCATGAGAAATATTCATTTTTAACCTTTGGTGACTTAAAAGAAAACAGGTTGCTGATGGCTAGCATTTAGATTTATATTTGATTTACCTTATTTTCCATTTTCTTTATTTCAAATGGTCAAATAATTATAAATGCCAAATTACCAGCTACAATGAAAATCTCACTTTTCAATCATTTAATTATTCAATAAACCAATTTTATTGGATACCACCCCTGCAAAACAAGACAATGGGATGATGAACATCACCATACCAGAGTTTGGCACTGGGCAACTTATAGATACATTATATTTGAAATTGCCCAATAACATTTTTCAAGTATTAATAATTAAGTTCAATTGAGAAATTCAACAGAGTTGAGATGCTGAACAAAATTCAGTTGCTATCTTCCTCCTATTATCTTGGAGTTTTGAAGACTTATTTCCTATGCTTGTTGCCCTATATTTTCTTTCTCAAAAGGCAAATCTTAAAGGAAAGTTCAGACATGAAATCTGGTAAGAATCAATCAAATTAGCAACTCACCATGTCATCTTAAAAAGTAACTGATGCAGAACCCATGAAGAAACTTTGGGGATTTCAAATTATTTTCTAAACTAATAAAGTCAGGCTCCAAAAATAAAAATGGTTTTATGTATTCCCATCTGATGTTACTGGCCAGTCCTCTCTTGTTGCCACTCTCAAGGCATCAAGAAGTACATACTTTGAGTAGTGATGAGGACTGCTTCAGTAAACCACCTGGATCCCTTTAAAAGGCCCTTGTAGGGTTATATATAAATCTGGGAGTAAAATCTCTCTGTACAGAACTACAGTTTTATCTCTGTGAGGTTAAATGGCCTATACAAGGAAATGTTGCCTTAATAATATGATTTAAATAACTGAATTAGCCACCCAAAACCAAAAGAAGATTGTATCATTTAATAAGTGCTTGGCAATTTTTTAAAAATTAAGTAAATCAGAATTTATGAAGCATGAGTGCCATATAAGTAGAGGGGGGTGGCTACATGATTTGATTTTAAAGATACTAAAAGATCTATACTATTAGCAAATAAAATTCAACAATATATAAAAAAATTATAGGCCATGACCAAGTGGAATTTATCCCAGGTATGCAAGCCTGGATCAACATTTGAAAACCAATTAATGTAATCCATTGTATCAAAAGGCTGAAAAAGAAAAATTACATGTCCATATCAATAGAGAAAAAGCATTTGACAAAATGTAACACCTATTCATGACAAAAACTCAGTAAACTAGGAATAGAGGGGAACTTTCTCAATGATAAAGAATACAAAATCCTACAGCTAACATCACACCTAATGGTGAGAAACTCAAAGCTATCCCACGATGATCAGTAGCAAGGCAAGAATATCCCCTTTCACTAGTTCTTTTCAACATTGCACCAGAAAAGGAAATAACAAGTACATAGGTTGGGAAGGAAAAAATAAAACCGTATTTGTTCACAAATGACATGATCATCTATGTAGAAAGTCTGGAAGAATCAACAAAAAACTAGACATAATAAGAGATTATAGCAAAGTTTTAGTCTACAAGGTCAATATATAAAAGTCAATTGCTTTCCTATCTACCAGCAGTAAACAAGTGGAATTTGAAATTTAAAACATGATATCCTTTACATTAATACACTAAAACCTGAAACACATAGGTATAAATCTAACAAAATATGTTAAAGAGTCATGTGAGGAAAACAAAAGTCTGATGAACAAAAACAAAAATCTAAATACATGGAGTGATATTCCACGTTCATGGATAGGAAGACTCAATATTGTCAAGATGTCAGTTCTTCCAACTTGATATATAGATTCAATGCAATTCAAATCAAAATCCCAGCAAGATATTTTGTGGATATCAGCAATGTGATTCTAAAGATTATATGGAGAGAAAAAACACCTAGAATAGCCAACACAGTAATGAAGGAGAAAAACAAAGTTGGATAACTGACACTACCCGAATTGAAGATTTATTATAAAGCTGCTATAATTAAGACAGTGAGGTATTGGAAAGAGAATAGACAAATAGATCAATAAAACAGAATGAGAGTCCAGAAATCAAACCACATTTCAGCGGTCAACTGATATTTGACAAAGGAGTAAAGGCAACACAATGGGCCAAAGGTAGCCTTTTAAACAAATGGTGCTGGTACAACTGAATATCCACATGTGAAAAAAATAAAACTAGACACAGTTTTATTTTTCACAAAAATAACTCAAAATGGATTACAGGCCTAAATGTAAAATACAAAACTATAAAACTCCTAGCATATATCATAAGAGAAAACCTAGAACACCTTGGGTATGGCAATGACTTTTTAGTATAACACCAAAGGCATGATCCATAAAAGAATTGATATGTTGGACTTTATTAAAATTAAAAATGTCTGGTCTTTGAAAGAAATTGACAAGGGAATGAAAAAGTAAGCCACAAACTGGAAGAAAATATTTGCAAAAGCCATATATGATAAAAGACTATTATCTCAAATACACAAAAAATCAAAACTCAAAACTCAACAATAAGCAAATAAACAACCCAAGTAAAAATGAGCCACAACCTTAATAAACACCTCACCAAAGAAGACATATAAATAGCAAACAGGCATATGCAAAGATGCTCTACATCATAGGCATCAGGAAAATGCAAATTAAAACAACAATGAGATACCACTACACACTTTTTAGAAGGGCCAAAATCCAGAACACTGACAACACCAAATGCTGGTGAGGATATGGAGCAACAGGAACTCTTACTTCTTGCTGGTGGGAATGGAAAATGGTACAGCCGCTGTGAAAGACAGTTTGGCAGTTTTTTTTTTTTAACAAAACTAAACATACTCTTACTAAATGATCCAGCAATTTCACTCATTAGTATTTGTTTACCCAGAGGAGTTGAAAACTTATGTCCACACCAAAACCTTCATGTGGATGTTTATAACAGCTTTATTCATTATTGCCAAAATTTGGAAGCAACCAAGATATTCTTCAGAAGATAAATAGATAAATAAACTGTAATATGTCCAGACAATGGCATATTATTTGGTACTAAAAATAAATGAGCTACCAAACATTAAAAAGGCATGGAGGAAACTCAAATGCATCTTGAAAGAAGCCATTCTAAACAGGCTATATACTGTGTGATGCCAACTACATGACATTCTGAAGAAGGCAAAACTCTGGAGATAGTAAAAGGATCAGTGGCTGCCAGGGACTAAGAATAAGCAGACCACAGAGGATCTTTAGGGCAGGGAACATAATCTGGATAATTTTATAACAATGATTACGTATCATTAAACATTTGTCCAAATCCATATAATATATGCAACACCAGGAGTGAACGTTGATAAAAACTATCGACTTTGAATGATTGTGGCATGTCAGGGTAGTTTCATCAATTACAATAAATGTACCACTCTGGTGGGGGATGTTGATAATTGGAGAGGCTGTGAATATGTGGGGGTAGTGAGGATAATGAAAAATCTCTGTACTTTCCTCTTAATTTTGCTGTAAGCTAAAACTTCTCTAAAATAATAAAGTCCTTTTTAAAAAAGACTTATTTAACAAAAAGAATATAAAAATATTCACCAAAAAAAGGAAAGCAATGTTGTCTCCAAGGTCAGTAGTGCCAGATGTTATTCTTCTTAATGTATACTAAATCGTTGGCAAAACCTCAGAGATTATGACCTTCAAGACATGAGACTAAGTAAAGTGAAAGCTAGGCTGCAATAAAGCAAAACAAAGAGATGACTGTGCAGTCACAACCAGAGCAAAACTACCAAACCACAGGAGAGGCCCAGGAGTGATAAAGGAGAGACGTCAAAGACTAACTTCCATGTTTCACTAATTTGTCTAGAACCAGCTCTGTGTGCCCAAAGGAGTCTTTCCCTCTGCAAACCTGGCATTTTCTCCAACACTAAAGATCTAGAAGCTGGGCTCCACTTCTATACCTCCAGTGGTTCCTAGTCTGCTTAATGGGACTCCAAGGGGGCCCATTAACCCCTTCCTGGTCAGCAATGGCAAGATTCAGAACTCAGCATTTAATCCATGATCCTTCTCACTAATCCCAAATATCAGGGTGCCAACTCAATTTATCTTGTGTTCATTTGCTTTCTTCTTCAGCTCCTGCCTCGTCCATCAGTCCTCCCTGTGCCCCTGAACACACCATGTTCATTCCCCTTAGTATACCTTTGTGCCTATTTTTACCTCTCTGAGTCCAAATTCAGTCTTTCCTTTAAAGTCCAGGTGAAGGACCATTTGTCAGATAAAGCCTTTCCCAACCAGTCCAGGCTATGACGCTTTCCCTCCATACTGTAAACTCAGTGCTTTCAATCACCGCTATACCATTAACTCTTAATTTGCTTTATGACTGCTAGTTTTATCTTCTTTTATTGTAATCCTGAGGCATAGGGCCATGACTTAAGACTCTTTTCCATATGCCACCATGTTTTACACAGGTCTATACCTAAAGAAGCCATTTATTAAACATTTATTGGTTGTTAGAGTGACTCTTAACCTTGACTTCAGTTTCCATCTCAATTCAATTTCGCCTCAAAGAATCCTTCATAATCAGAGCAATGAAGTTTAGAATCAGACTCCTTTATTTTCCATCTATGTAAGTATAAACAGCTAATTGAAAATTTAAATAACAGAATGCAGTCCTGAAAGCTTTCACATGCCAACTAAATAAGTGCTTATGATGCGCATACATACCTATGTGCTCCAAAGGGTTAATGCTCAATGAGGGGTTTTTAAAGCTCATTAATTGTTACAGTGCATCCTTTTATCTAAATTGTTAGTGGCCTGCTTAGTCGATTGAAACATATTGCTTTGATATTAAAGCTGCAATCCAGGCCTTTGTTTCCAGTGTATGTTCTATTCAGAAATGCAAGTCCTTCTGCACAGGGCAGTGAAGATTGCTCTGGTGAGCTTTACAACTCACTATGCCACCTGCTCAAGAACAGGGACAACAAATCCAGGCCAACGATTAACATAAATAAGAAACTTTGCAATAAAATACACTAGTCACAAGGGCATACAGTTGGGAAGCAAAGTTTATGATTTCCTTAGTAATGTGACTTTGATTTCTAATTGAATATCACATCCACACTCTTAAATATTGGGGTTTTTTTTAAGAAAAAAATAACTATTGAAGAAAATGAGAAAAGAGGGGGAATTAATTAGTATAGCCAGATTATTGTTGATCAAGGTTAAGTCACATTTCAGCAAGCTAAGTTTTCAGTCTGAAAAAGAAACCCATGGCATTTTTATATTAAGACTGAATCATCAGCTAATGAGCATTACAGTGAGAGTAATGGTTCAAAGGGTAGGGTTTGTTTTCAGGTTTATAACAGAAATTTAAAAATTGATTCATTTAACTCCCAATAAGTAAGTAATGTAACTTACAGGGCATTGTCTCTTGCCTTTAGAAGCACTACTGCCTTTAGAAGTGCTACTCATTCAAATACTCTTACTTTCTATTGTTACCCACAGTTTGGGTCTGCAAAGAAAACATAAACCATTTAAAGATGGCTCAGCCAGTCTGACCAGCTTATAGCTAATTTATCATTAAATGATCTGGTAAGATCCCAACTACATCATTAGTTAGATATCATGCAACTAACCTAGTAGGATCATAAAGTAGGTCAGAAAATAAACATGTTGTGGAATCACTGATCTTTTCATATTATATGAAGAAAACCTCAGTTTCCTTATGAACCCAAAGTCTTTAATAAGCATTTATAAGAGAACAAATATTTTAAAGAAAATATATTTCGTTGCTCAGTAGGTATGCTGCCTAACTTTAAAAATCTACCTTAATTTCTTTTAAATACTGGGAAATAGTATAAGCCAATTTAGCAAATAAGTGAACAGACCCGTATATGCTAAGAATGTGTTCCAAAGAATGCCTAGGGAGCAGAGGAGACTTGAATAGAATTTGGAAAAAATAAATAAATCAGAGAAAAGAAGACAGTGAGTTCTTTCAAAATTAGCTTATTTAGAGCATTTTGGTACCCCTTGAAGAGAAGAGAGTAATGGCCTAGGAAGATGAGGGGTGGGTGAACTACACCAGCAAGAAGTAATCATTAAAGGCAAACTGAAGGTTTCAGTCGAGGAAGAGTCAAAGTAAGGATACATTCTTGCATCATCTCTAAGGCAAATGGTTCTTTCTTCCTTTGTATATTCTTATTTGTAAGCAAAAGCAAGAAACAGTGACAAGATTTCTGACCTTGGATGTGGTGTATCAAGAAAGCTCCTCAGGGAGTGCTAATCCACCCACTCCTTCCCTCATGAATGTACACAGGCGCAGTGAAAGCAAGCACACTGTGCACACATTTGACCTCCTTGGGGTCAGCGAAGAAGGTTTGTTTTTCTCACTGACATCTTTTTTAATTTGAGGCTCCTCCTAAAGTCTACCAAGGCTTTGAAACAAGGCTATCACATTTTTTTGCTCATGTTCTACATTTTTTTTCCAGAGGCATTGGTAATAAAAGTCATAGAAAAAAATATGGTTTGTAAAGAAATATTTTAAAATAGTGTGGATGGCTCAGTGTATGTGGATAGTGTACATGGGTTAAAGAAATAAACAAAACATTATGCCATTTCATAAGAACACATCCAGAGCCCAGTCCTGATACAACCTATGCCATTCTGAAATAAGTCAATAAATAAAAAGGCAACGGCATTTTTAACCACGTATGCTAACTAGGTCATCTAATAATGATGACATGATTCCAGTCATGTAAGATATCATCTACTCATTACAATTCAAGTTATGGTTGATGACATTGATATAACTTAGAATAGTATAAGATAGAGGGAATATTTCATAGTAAATAGACCAAGAATGATTCCCCTTGGAATAGTAAAGGTACAAATTGCTTTAGTTTTCATTTCTATGGTACTAAATTTGTATTTCATGTGAGGGCCTACAATTGATGACTGCTTACTTGTCTGGGTGAAAAGGGATAAAAAAATAGATTGTAATTGTCAAGGTTGTTTGTGTTAGTAGCTAAAATGGCAAGCAGCACTCTGAAGTCTTTGTCAACAGCACACAAGTAAGTCTCTTTTTAAGGAAAACAAGAAAGTGTTGGCCAAAGAGTTACAAGCCAAAATACCCTGTATCATCTGGCTGACATGGTTCACAGTTTTTCCTGGAACGATTATTGTATAAACTACAAGTCGCACAAACTCCAGTTCAGCCACCCAGGATTGGTCCTAGATTTTCTCTAGAGCTTTACAGGATTGAAGTTTGTTTTTGCTGTTGTTGTTGTTGTTTAAAGAATACAAAATACTTGCAGCTGTTCTACACTTTTATATTCTCATTTTTAAAAAAAATTCTAAGTTGGCTAACGAAAACATCTCAATGTTGCTATACTTAGCAAATAATTTAAAATTCATAATAATTACTTCTATACGTCAAATTATCTTCTTCTCCAAATTCCCACTTGCCTCTCATTATCTTAGATAGTCCTATTTCTAAATTTCTCTTGATGTGTTATAGACACTATTATGTCCTACTTCTGAGAATAATTCATTAACATTCTGTGTATTGAAGTATTAGTTTATATAAGCAAAGGGGCAATCACATTTAGTTAAGGGGAAAAAAAAAGGAGTCATTGTCCAGTAAGTATTCATGTTGGTTCCTAATCACATAAGGGGTGTGTGTGTGTGTGTGTGTGTGTGTGTGTGTGTGTGTGTACATGAACTAAAATACTAACAAATCCTCACTTATCCAAATACTCAGTAGGTTTGTTTCTCATACCGTTGGAATACCATTGTTAAATAAGGTTAATTTTCAAAATAATTACAAACTCTATAGTGACATTTTATACTACCTGATAATTACTCATCACAGCTGTGCTTCTCAAACATCTATTTTTTTTAAAAAAAAGGAGAAACAAAAGAGGACAAATTTTTTTTGAATTTCCAATTCAAAATGGACTAATACTTTTGTAAAATACAATAAAAATGAATGTTTTAGTCACATCAAATTGTTATGAAAGTTTCTAAATGCTTACTCTCCATGTCTGCATCATCTCACTGCAGTTCAGCAAGTAACTACAGCAGTGCTTTAGAGCACAGTGCCGGTACCTAAGAGACAACCTCAAAGTGTTCAGTAAATGGAAGACAAAGGATTCTGGTTTCATAAAACTGGATTAAATATTATAGAAATATATAAATGTATTTTTCTGAGAACAGATTATGAATCTTTTTTTCCTTCTGCTATGCAAGAATAGAGGTTAATGGTGAGGAGATAATTCTGTCTGGGGTGACATCGATTATGGGGTGATAACTGGGGTGATATCAATTATGAAAAACAAAGATGAATAAAATTTGGAAGAGGCAAAAGGTAAAGAGAATGCAAAGGAGGGGAACCCACAAGACTCTGGAAACTAGTTAATATAGCAGGGCATGTGGAGCATGAGGAGGGGTGTTTTGTATCATATAACATAGTTTACTGACACCAGTAACATGTATTTACAGGGAAGTTTTTTGAGTAGTCAATAATATTCCTAACAGAACTTTTTTTAAAAAGTCATATTTAAACTAAGCTTAACCTCCATATTAAAGTTAGATTAGATTAGATGCAGCAACTATTAGTAACAGAAAACCTGGTTCAGCAGTCTATTAAGCAAATTAGAAGCTCTTATTTTTCCTGATGCAGAAGTCATCCTGATAAAATAGTTGCTGGTATTGGTTCAGTGGTACAAAGATATCTGTGCTGACACATCTGAACATCTTGTCCATTTCTTCATGGACACAAAATGTTTGCCAGACCTCCAGCCATCGTATCTGCATACCAGGTAGGGAGAAGACGGAAGTAAGAAGGAAAAAGAGGTGGCACTTTTATCAGCAAAGTAGATGACTTCCCTTTATGTCACATTAAACAGAACATGTTAAATGGCTCTCATAGCCACAAAGAACTGGAAAATATAGATTTCTTTAACTGAATGTGGCCTGAACCAAATCAAAGCTCTGTTAGCAAGAAAAAAGGGAAAAGGGTAATTGGAAAGGCAACTAACAATACCTGCCAGACATGCCAACTCTGACCCAACCCAGGAGGAGGGTAAGTAACAAATTTTTAGCACTAATTCTTTTTTTTTTTTCCTCAGAAACTCTACTCGGTGCATTGGTTACATAATCTTAGTCTAAAAACCCTAAAGAATAGGTGTCTGATCTCCACTTAACAAGGAAACACTGAGCCTCCAAGAGTTTAAATGATAATTGCATCAGTTAACTGGCACACCTGCATGAGGCAGAACTGGCACTCAAAACCTGTGCTTTTCCCACTGTACCAGAGTTCATCTGATTTTACATGAGCAGAGTTCATAATGAAATTAGTTAGTATCATTTCCCCTGATCTAACTGATAGATACTGCTCATTCACTTAGCTTAACCTGATGATACAAAAATATATTGAGGATTATGTGAACCTAAATGCACACCTTAGGTTACATTATAAGTAATATTTGCTAGAAATATAAATTACAACTAAAGTAATTATTAAAATCTGATATGTTACAATATAATTATATAGATAAATACAAATACAAGTTTTCTTTGGAGCTACTTAGGTTGTACCATTCTATATCCCAGCTGTCCTAGGTCTTGGTTTGATTCATACACGCCTCCATGGTTGCAAAACATCAATAGTTCCCTCACCTAAAGAGACAGAAGTATCTTAAAATCATTTTTCTTGTGTATTATAGGAGGCTTACAAATGCCTATTGAACATTCTTTGGTGCCCAGCCATGACTGCAGCTGCCAAGAAGACCTTGATTGAACTGCATATGGACACACTCTGCAATATATGTACATATATACATGTGCTGACGCGGCTAGGTCAGTGCACCTATACCTGCACCTATACATTGACACAATACCTGGTCAAGCATTATTCCAGATGTTTCTGTGAAGGTATTTTTCAGATGAAATTAATATTTAAATCAGTAGACATTCAGTAAAACTGATTATTCTGCATAATGCTGATAGGTCTCATCCAAACAGTTGAAGGCCTTAATAGATAAAAGACTGACTTTCTAGAGAAAGAGGGAATTCTGGGTAAGGACTACCTTCAGACTCCAGCTGCAATGCCAGCTCTTCCCTGGGTCTTCAGCCTGATGGCCTACCCTGCAAATTTTGGACTTGCCAGCCTACACAATCATATAGAGCAAATTCCTTAAAATGAATTGAAAGAAATAGAGAGAGAGAGAGAGATATTTATTTTAATGAATTGACTCACACGATTATGGAAATATATATATATATGTGTACATATGTGTGTGTGTGTGGGTGTGTGTGGGTGTGTGTGTGTGTCATATTGATTATATTCTGTCTGTCTCTCTGGATAACCCTGAGTAACAACACCCAATGTTTCACTTTTCTATCTCTCTCTGTCTCTATCTACTTCTCTTTATTTTACCTTTAATTTTTTTCATTTGGGCACTTCATACATTGCAGTACATAGTCTATTTTCTCACAAGGTAGGAAGGTATTTACATCTCCGATGGGAAAGAATTAACCTAACACCGGAAAAATCACTTTATACATTTTCAGGAGACCAAGGATAAACACACGCTAACACATATACACTTACACACACATACTCATTTACCCTTTTTTGCATTGTGTTCTAGCTCATGTCCTGGAAGCAGAACCAGTAGGTTTTTCCCCATAAAGAACATGCCACGACAAGGATCAGCCTATCCCCTGCCTATCAACAGAAATGTTGCCCAAAGGTTCTCACCCACTGCTGGGCGTGGTGACTCACGCCTGTAATCCTAGTACTTTGGGAGGCCGAGGCGGATGGATCACTTGAGGTCAGGAGTTTGAGACCAGCCTGGCCGACATAGTGAAACCCTGTCTCTACCCAAAAAAATTAATTAATTAATTAATTAATTAAAAAAAAAAAAATATATATATATATATTCAAGAATCGCTTGAACCCGGGAAGCGGAGGTTGCAGTAAGCTGAGATTGCGCCGCCACTGCACTCCAGCCTGGGTGACAGAGCGGGACTCCGTCCCCCTACCCAAAAAAAAATTCTCACCCCCTTACTACATTACCTGAAGACTTCTGATTTACACACTAACTTATTTTCAATACCAGGAAAAACAGGAATAAAATGGCCTTTGGTCTCCCTCTGACATACAGGAGCTAAAATATGTGGTCAGAGTACATGTCCCTCTTGCTTCTCTACCAAAAACTAGCAGCTTCATTCAGCTGTCACATGCACTCTTCAAGACCTGTCCCTGAACAGCACTGTGTGCCTCAAACAGTTTCTTGCTCACATTTCCCAGCACTCCAGACCTCTTCTGCCCCTGAAGGAGCTCACAAGACCTCACCTCTTTCACAAAAGCCATCTGAGCTAAAGCATGCCTAACCAAAAAAAAAAACAATTTTAAAAATACGTATTGCCAGTTTCTGAAAGCCAGGTATCAAGTACTTAGAGTACTTGATAGTGTTAGAGTACTAACACTGCCTTCATGCTTACCAAGCTTGAAGTCTCAGAGCTGTGTCAAACACTCCAGTTAAAGGGATATATGTGTATATGTGTGTGTGTATATATATGTGTGTGTGTGTATATATATATATATATACACACACACATAGAGATCACACACACATTTACATACTCATATATATACATTCACACATATATATTTATATATTAACTCCTGGCATATTTATCCTCTACTATGACCAACACTGGGATGTTATTTCTCTGTATTGCCTTGTACACTAACATCCTGTAAAATGAAAGCATGATCTGCTTTTCAGAGGTGCCAAAAGGAATAAGCATGTAAAACAGGGACTTCTTATGCTTATTCCAAGTATTTTCACAAGGCAATTAAGTAAAGGATTTTTTAGTCCATGCTTTAACCTCTAGAAGAGCTTTATTCCACTGTTTAGTTCACAAAATAATATTGAACAGCTATACACCAGAAACTGGGCTGAGCACTCAGGAAACAGAGAAAATTGGTGTGTTCTCTACCCGTAAGTTCCTCCCAATCCATTTTATTTCTCCAACTGAAGTTCTACAGCAGGATGATCTTTCACAGATTCCCAGCTTTGAGAACTGCAGTGTATTACACAGTCATTGATAGCTACAGAAAAACTTATACAGGTGCTATGAACATCATGAAGCATCCTCCTCTTTCACTCTTTTTAAAAACTATATATATATATATCACCTCTTCTGAACCATCTTTGAGATTTTTTGGTTTCATGAGCTGTACAAGTGTGAGGGTAGGTATAAATCTTTTTTTAAATCTAAACTGAGTCATAAAAAGGTGTTAGAAAAATTTCATGATTAAAAAGGCCTCCTGTGAAATCATGTCCTTTGCAGCAACATGGATGTATCTGGAGGCCATTATTGCAGGAACAGAAGGCCAAATACCATATGCTCTCACTTACAAGTGGGAGCTAAATAGTGAATACACGTGGACAAAAAGAAGGGAACAGTAGACTCTGGAGACTAGTTGAGGTGGGAGGGGGACATCTGTTGAAAAACTACCTATCAAATACTATGCTCCCGTCCCCGGGTGATGGGATCATTTGTACATCAAACCTCAGTGATGGGCGATTTACCCATGTTACAAACCTGCACATGTACCCCCTGAAACGAAAATAAAAGTTGAAATTTTTAAAAAAATAAATAAAAATAAATAAAATCGCCTTCTGCCTAATTGAGCCATCCACTCATGAATTACACAATAACCTACCATATTAAAGCCATTTTGTGGTTGGAGGAGGGGACAGGAAATGAAAAAAATAATAATAATAAAACCTGAACCTGAAAGCAACTTGCTTTCTAGCAGAGGAGCTTACATGGTACCTTTATGAACTTTGTATCTTCTTCCATTTGTTGGCTTTCTGCTTTGTTATATTCTGATAGTGATTAACATGTAGTCAAGACTGGAGGTGATGCAAAACTCAGTTAAGAAAGGTCTGCTGAGATGCTGCCCATAGTGAGTTGCCTGTGGTCGAGGTGTGGGTGGGGTAGGATTGGAACATTTTGATTGTTCAGCTGCTCTCCACCCAGTGAATTTATGACATAAGCATTTCTAAATTTGACATCTTTCAAGATCATTGTTTCCATAAAAAAAATAGCTTTTACATTAAATCATCACGGGCACGGGACATGAACAAGAACGTGGAATTCTGTCATAATCTCACATAAAATTTTGCCCCATAAATTCCTGCCAGTTTAAAGGCAGGAATTTGCTTTATTGAGATGATATTGCCATGAACTTTCCTTCTGATTCACAGAATTGGATATGCACAGGATAGAAAGGGCCTAATGCATCTTTATGCACTATGTTCATTGTTCAGCTGTGAGCTGAACAGCACTGGCTCTGGGCTCACGTTTGCCAGGCAGCATTGCCCCTTGGCCAGTCATTTCTTCTTTCAAATCTCCAAAGAAGAGATTCACAACTTCCCTGGGTATTTGTGACACCATCTGGCAACTCTTGTAGTTGATGCTAGCTCTAGGCAAAATATTAGAATGTTTCTCTTTACCCCCTATCACTCCTCTTTCCTAGAAGTTTCTCAATTCTTCACACCTTTCCTTTCAAAACTAAACTCCCCTCCCCAAAAGCTGTATCTCGAAAATAGTTTAAGACGTTATATACCAGAAATATTTCCATTTGCATAAGGCAGGCTGGAATATCTGAAAGCCTGCACAGGACACAGAAATAAGTCTCTGATAGTGGAATATGAAATACTGGAAAATATATTTTGAAGAGGGGCATGGCATTTCCTCCATGCCCCTCAAGTGGATGACTATGTACTATACCTATGCCATCTGTACAAGATTTTTCTAGGACAGTCATAATCCAAAATATTCCATCCATCTGTCAGATTACGTGTTAGACCATGTGACTCAATTTCTAGTTAAGAAAATATGCCCCCCTACAGTTACGTCAGTTCAGTTTACAGTCACTTCTAACCCAAATGTCATTGGTTTGGGTTTGGGGTGATTGTTTGTTTGTTGCCTATTCTTAGTGAACATGAAGAAAGCTGTTCACCACCATCTCACAGGCATCTCATCCTTCTCATCTCAGACATAAAGGCTAGTGTTAACTTCCTTTTTATGGCTTTCTTCCTTGGCTAAATGACAGTTCACCTGGGCTTCCACATTGGGCCAGCAGTCTCTGGCATTGAGAAGCACTTCATAAATGTCTCTTACACAAATAAATTTCAGTGTTTTCTCCCTTGCCCTCCCTTCCTTTGCCCCCCGCCTGGGAAGTAGAAGCTCTAACTGAGCTCCAGAACTTAATAGTATCTGTAAGGCTAAGTAATCAGGAAGCTTCCAGTGAGAGAAGAAAGGTGAGGAGCCCTCCCTTCCACATGGCCCCAGTATCTGAATCCACTGGCTGAGATGAGGCCTCTGAATGAGTGAAGGCTTTGAGTGTTGGACAACAGTTATGCCCATTGCTACCAAAGGCCACTCAGAATAATGAAAGCTGATCCCAATTTGAGTCATGATTAGGTTAGCATAAACTGTGGGCTTGTAACTTCACTTAATTATCTACAGATATTTATTATTATGTCCGTGCATTGAACTCACTTCCCTGGAAACAGATGTTTTGGAGGTGTGCAGAGATTATGAACTCGGCCACTTCTAAGTATTAGTGTGTTCTGTGCCCATATCCAGATGCTGCATGGCTGTGAATGGTCATGTCAACACTGCCTGTCTTGATAATTTCTGGTATTTTTTAGAGGTTTTAGCTAAGTGAACATTTAGTGCTGTCAAAAAAAAATCAACATGAATCCATTCATTTATGAATTAAAACATGTCAATAGTGAATACCTACTATGTGCCAAATACTACTTTTCCTGCTGAGGATAAAGTGGTGAACAAGGTAGATGGGGCCACTGCTCTCAAGTAATTCACAACCTAACACAAAAAGCACACTTTAAACATATAAGCAAAGAAATCAATCAAATTATGTCAGGCAGTGAAAAGAAAAATAAAGAAACAAGGGAGGACCAGGGAACTCTATCCTGGGCTGACTCTAAATTCTCTTTTATTCCCCTTCCCCCCTTGAAGCTGGGGGACAAAATAAGGCCAGGCTGAAGCCAGAAGACTTTTCTTGAGTTTAGAGCAACTAAGGGCCACAGTGGCCCCTGGAGCCTGCTCTGCTGAGGGCCTCAGGGCAAAAAGCCCCTTTACCTTCTACCTGAGTCTTCTCTCCCACTATGGCAGCCAAACCCAGGAAGGGGACAATGAGACAATGAAGTCCTCACAGTTCACTTGCAACACAGCCAATCACCCTGGATAGGAGCAGAGAGCAATGGTTCCTTATCACCTGTTAGTCCCTGTTCTCTCCAAGAAAGTAATGACAGCCATGGGCTATCTCCTCAAGAGTGGGGGTAATGATTAGGAACTCCTGCTGTCACACCATCTGGAGTGATGGTGTGTGTTTAGCATCCCACAGGCTGGTCCTCAAGGAGTCCTCCTGAGCCCACCCCAACAATAGAGGACACTGACCACTTAGTGAGAGAGCCTAACCTGGCTACCTCAATCACAGTGAGCACCATTCAAAAATTAAAACAAAAGCCTCACCAAACATCACAAGATGTTTAAACAAACAAACAAGCCTCACCAAAATCACAAAGGAAAACATCGACTTTTGTAATCAATCTCACATCACCCTCATTATCAAGAGACACTTCCTGAATGTCCACCAGGGTTGGCTCTGTGCAGGGTCTCAGGGTAACAAGGACACTTTTGCTGACCTCTAGGAGCTTAGAAAAGAAATTAGGGAGACAGATATATATTTGAAAATTATTAACATGGAAGCTCTAAAGTAAAGCAGTACAACTATGAAAGTATTGGAAAGAAAATAGAGATACATATTTTTGAATCTCAAATTCATGAAGGTCTTTCTAAGCTTGCCATCAAAGACAGAAACCACTACTAATAATATTTATAATGATGATTTATATATTAATAATAGCAATAATAACAATTGTAGACTATCAGTTCCCCACTCTGAGAAGACACAGGCCTTCACGTGATAGCAAAGGGAAGCCTAGGTCATCCGAATCCTGAGCCAACCCCTTACGCATCTGGATAATTCCTCTGCCTTGTCCAGCCCCAAGTTTCTGATGTAACAATGTCAGCTGGGCAGAAAATTGGCAAGAGGAATCATGAGTATTCAGCACCCCAGAAACTCTCAACCTACCTGCTTGATTTACACATTTATTCCAAACCAAACGCACCCCCTGTTCTTGCTTTTGACTCCACTCCACTTCAACCTTGGCATATTCCCCTTGTGGTAAGCTCTACCAGCCTGGGCAGCCCCCCAAGTGCTACCTGCTGCCTTGCCCCAAGTTGGCTGTTACAGCCTCCTCTATAGATGATCTTTTCATCATAACAAAGGCATATTCTGTTGTCCCAGATTTTCTTTTATGAAGCCTGGACAGTTCGCCCTTAGAGATTCTCCTAGCTGGTTTTCTTTCAAGTATGTACACACCACATTTTGCTTCTGTGATTAAAATGTTCAAAGTATCACAGGTTTAATTTCTATTACTGCCTATAGATGCTATTAAGTTGACCTCAATGTTTTCCACTCTCCTTGTACTTTTTGGTCCTGGTATTTTGTGCAGCTTTTGTTTCCCCAGATGGTTAATTCTACTTATTTCTAAAATTCTCTTTGAAGTTGAACTTATAAATATATTTTAATTGCCATTTTCTTTGTCATATTTACCCCCTAACAACAACAATAGTTAATACTTATTGACTTATATATATATGGTACCTGGCACTATTTTCAAGATTTCATGTGTATTGTTATTAAATGTCCATAATGAGATAGGTGCAACTGTAATTTCTATATTACAGGAAAGGGAATTAAACAAAAAGAAGTTAAATAACTTGCCCATCACCACACAGGAAATAAGTGATAGAGACAGATTCAAACACAGGCAGCATGATTTGAAAACTTGAGCTCTTAAACACTACACTGTATATAAAGAAAAATATTGATAACTAAAATTATGTAAATATCTAAAACTCTCCTAATGGCCATATATAGTAACAACAACTCCAACTTGTTAAAAAACAAGCAACAAACTGAAAAAATCATATAATATATATTTAAAAAATGTGTTAACACATAAAGAGCCCTTATAAATCAATGAAAAAGAAAATGGCAATATCCCTACAGGAGGTGTGCAAAAATGGCAATTGGCAACCCCCAAAAGAGTTAAAAGAAAATTTACAAATACACACATGAAAAGGTTTTCCTAATTCTACCCTCTTCCCAGGTCATCTTCTCCTCACCCACACACCATTAACCAGCTATATACAGATTACTTTCAGAGGTCTATCTTCAACCTCAGGTTCTCTCTATGCTCCCCACACCCAGCTATCCAATTACCTACTCAACATTCCCACCCATACATCCCAAAGAAATCCATAACCTGGATCTCTTTCAAGGGTTGCTTATTCTCTGGGAGGGGACTATCATCCATCTTGCTGCATGCACTGAAAACTGTAGACTTACTTTTGACATTGCCTCCCTCTCACCTTTCATACCCTGCCTATCAGCAAATACTGACTTCTTTGCCTCCCTCTTCCTTCTCAAGTCTGTCCTCTTACTTCTCTCCACAGCCACCACTCTTGTCGAAACAACCATCTTTCACCCAAAGCTTGTAACCCCTTCCATTGGCTCTGACATCCACTAAGACCCCATCAGTGCATTTCTCACAGTGAGGCCACAGTGACCATTTTAGAAGCACCAATCCAACCGTCATCCTCTCCCCTACCACAGACAACAATCACCTTGGTAGATTCCCATTGCTCTCAGGATCACACTCACAGGTCTGATCTTTGCAGTCTCGCCTCACACACCTGGCCCTGGCTCTCTGCACTCTGATCACACTGGTCCTCAGTCCCCAAACTGCCCATCTCTGCCCTCTAGACACCTTTGGGATCCTGCTGGCTGTTCATCCCCCACACCTTCCCCTTTCCTTCAACCCTTTCTCTCATAGCCCCCTTACCACCCCATGACAATGACCGAGATGTAATCCGAGATGTAATTTTCTTTTTTTTTTTTCTGAGATGGAGTCTCTCTCTGTTGCCTAGGCTGGAGTGCAGTGGCACAATCTCGGCTCACTGCAACCTCTGCCTCCCGGGTTCAAGCAATTCTCCTGCTTCAGCCTCCTCAGTAGCTGGGACTACAGACACACACCACCGCACCAAGCTAATTTTTGTATTTTCAATAGAGATGGGGTTTCACCATATTGGTAAGTCTGGTCTCGAACTCCTGACCTCAGGTGATCCACCCACCTTGGCCTCCCAAAGTGCTGGGATTACAGGTGTCAGCCACCATGCCCAGCCTAGACAATGACCCAGATATAATTTTCTATTTCACTAATTATTTAATTAATGTCTAGGTGTCTGTTATGGGTTGATTGTGCTCACCAAAAAGGTATGTTGCATTATTCCTGATCCCCAGTGCAGCAGAATTTGATCTTACTTGGAAACAAGGCCATTGCAGATATCATTGGTTAAAATGGGGTCATACTGGAGTAGAGTGGGGCCCTAATACAATATGACTAATGTCCTCTTAAGACATTAAGAAGACATTCATGTGAGACAGACAGAGAACACAATGTAAAACCAGACGATTTGAGTACACATCTACAAGCCAAGACATGAAAAGATTGCTGGCAAAGCAATGGACACGAGAAACAGGCAAGGAAAGATTCCCCCGCAGGTTTTGGAGGAGTATGGCCCTGCCAAAACCTTGATTTCAGACTTCTGGCCTCTAGAACTGAGACAATAAATTTCTGTTGTTTTAAGCCACCTGGTTGTGTTACTTCGTTATGGCAGCCCTAGGAGACTAATAGTCTCCCCGCAAACTCTAAACTCCATGAAGAAGAAAACTGTTTTTTTCTCACTACTGCTTCCCCAGGTCATAGCACATGCCTGGCACACACTAGGCATTTAAAAGACATTTGAAAATGAGTGAAACAAGTAAACTAATAAATAAATACATGACAAAAACTTCAATGCCACTTGCAATCAACAAAAGTGAAATAAAACAACAATTCATTTGTAAAGATCAAAATGTTGTCAATACCTTAGTTTTCATCAGAATGGGGAAAAGGACACTCACAGAGTTGTGGTGAGAATTGGATAAATGGACATTCATATACTGCTGCTGGAAGAATAAACTGGTACGACCTCTCTGGAAACTATAATATGTATTACAGGCCTTTAAAAGGCTTACATTACACACTTTGACCCAGGAGTTACACTTCTAGGAGTTTATCAAACGGAAAAATGTACAAGTATATAAGATGTATGTATAAGAATGTCCCCTGGAGCTGTGTTTATGTAAGAGAAAAATCTTTAAAAATTAAAAATAACCCAAATACCCAATAATGATGCATAGCTTGAGTCAATTATGGTCATCTATATTATGGAATACTATAAGGCCACATCGAAAAATAATTATCATCTATATTTGTTGATATAGAAAACATAAAGGGGTTTACTAAACAGTTTGCATAGTATAGCCAAATTTTTGACAAACAAATATGTGTGTATCAACATAAAGTTAAATCTAGAAGTATAAATGCAAAAACATTAACAGTGGCTTTCTCTAGGTAATGAAATTATAAATGACTTTGAATTCGTCCTTTATTACCTATGTGTGTATGTATGTGGGTGTATATATATATAGGTATATATATGTGTGTGTACATATGTATGTATATAGGAAGGATGAATTTCTGTAATACCCCTCACCTTTCCCTATCAGCAAATATGACTTTTTTGCCTCCCTCTCCCCTTTCAAGTCTCTCTCTTGCCTCCTTTCCTCTCTGTATTATAAAAAGAATACAGGCTTACTGAAAAATCTTAGACCATATACACAAAAATAATGTATAATTGAAATTGTTATAGAAATTGTCATATAATTTCTATAATTCATCCTTCATTATTTTTGTGTATATGGTCTAAGATTTTTCAGTAAGCATGTAGTCTTTTTATAATGAAGAAAAAAAAATAATTTCCAGACAGGTAAGTAATAGCACAAAGTATTACATATGAAGTGTCAAATGAGCGATATAGTTCATGATTTGCAAGCATTGTCTTCCGTGCTCTCTGGATTTCAGTGTTAAATATGCTAAAATGTTTACCCATTTTCCCAATGCAGGACTATTATCCCCAGTCAATCGAAAAGGGCTCAGAAGCAAAGATCTGGGCTGAGTGCCTTCCTGGGGGATTTATAGCAACTTCCCAGGCTAGCTGTGGGGAGAACCAAAAAAGAGATGGGCCAACCCATCCAGAGAAAGCAGCTCATGCAGCACGTGGCTCCCAAGAGAGAGAGAACTGGGATGCATGCTTTTCCAACCCAGGGAGCCAAGGCTCGGAATGGGAATCAGGCCAGAGAGAGACCCAGAAATGTCCATTTGTCAAAAGTTTTATTGCTAATATTACTGCCAGTTTGTCATTATGTACTTTTCAGGCCCCCAGTTGGTCTTCTTGTTCATACAAAAAGGTCAGAGATGATTCTTAATGCTTCACTAATGCGGAATTCAACAAATGGACAGTGGTGAACTGTCAAAAGCCTATAAACCCCAGAGACTTCTTATTTACATGTATATCTTTGTTATCCTGGGCACGTTCTCCCAGTCCTCAAAGGAACTATAGTGTCACCGCAGCTGGCAACAGCCAAAGCTCCTGGTTGCGGAGCCCAGGCCTTGCCAAGATTTAGCCTGGGACAGCAGGAGAATCTGGCACTCCTAGTAACATGCCTGCTGCTTTTCTGGTTCCCCCATTTCCTCTAGTATGGCTTTATGCAATACAGAGAAATTATTTTCTCCTAATATTTGCTGAAATTGGAAATGACACAACTGTGAAGTAAATGCTGTCAGAGGGGCATTTCAGCTATGCTTAAATTAGCACAAAGCCAGAGAAACAGCTTCATTTGTGGACCTTCTCAAGTGAGGAGTACAACAAATATTGCCTCACATACAGAATAACTGGGGATGAGTTACCTGAAACTTGGACTTTTTCTTCTGAAGGAAAGGGATGGTCTGCTCTTGATTATTGCTTGTCATCTCTTATCTACCAGCATGCTCAGATCCAGAAGCAGTGTCCAGTATAACAGTGCTCAATAAATATTTGCAGCATTGAATTGAAACTCACTTCTGGAATTCCTTTCTTGCTTTGATGTGAAGTGTACCTTGTATTTCATACAAAATTAAAAGAACAAAAAAAATTGACTTGATGATCCAGAAGCATCATTTTCCCTTTAACAGACAAAGTCCAAGCACCAGGGCCAATTTCTGTCTTGCTCCTGATTCATGGTGAGCAAAACTGCCATGACATGATCCTGCTCTTGTCTTCCTCACACTTACTCTCTGCTTCACCCTCAAGAGCAGCCAAGTTGCACGTGGCCACTAACAACATAAGGGCTTTTTTGATCTCTTGGTCCTTTCTATGAATTGAATTATCCTCAACTCTGTCTCCAATTTTCAATTTCATCAAAACTCATCGAGCCATAGTGGGCTGTTCTGTGCGTGTGAACATCAGGCTTGGCAAAGCTGACGTGGGCTGGTATATGACTGTCAAATATACCTGAAATGCTCTGATGACTTTTCTTATTTTTAATATCAGATTTACAGAGTAAGCTATTTAAGATTCATCTCCCCATTTATGCCATAAACAGTTTCATTCCTGACACCTTTCCAGAGGATGGTTCTATGCAGTGCCCTTTTAGCAGAAGGCCCTACAGCCTAACCAATTTTGGTCACAAAATCAACTGTGCTGATTCAATTAAAAGGACACCTGTGAGCTTTTTGGTTTTTTTTTTTTCTCCTTTATTTCTTACAAAATGCTCCAATAAGTAGGTTAAATTATCTGTGTCTGAAAAAGAAGGTAAAACTCTCTTGTTGGCTTCTTCCTCTATTAAACTGCTTTAATAGAAACCAACTTTCATTCTGTACAGTGTCCTTCATCCAATTAACAACCTCACTCCATTGAAATTCTTCTCATAATTAACCAATAGCTATTACTTCCCCAAAAAGTCACCCCAATTTACTTACTCGTCCTGTGTACTTCTACACTTTTCTTAGACCTCATCTAAATCAGTATCAGAGAGCATAAAAGGTTGTTTTCTGAAGCACTGGGTTATTTATTGGTGGTTCTTTCCGGCAACTTCCTGTAGCTTGTCGGAGTGCAGGCCTGCACTCGGCCAATTACCACAGGTGAAACAGACCAATGCTCCTAAAGAAAATTTGATAAGCTTGGTTTCTCGTTTCTATTACCTTTTGGTTAGAATTTCACAGGGCTTAAATCAAGCAGCATCTCTTAGGCATTTCAGAGCTGTTCCTTTTTTATGAGCACGGGAAAGGGCAGGGAAATGACAACTCTAATCAAATTCAGACTTCATGCAATTGACGATCGGTGGGTTTTCACATTTGGGTCTGGACTGTTTGTTCAGCTTCAGTGTCAGGCCCGTGGATAACAGTGGCCAATAAAGCGTAAAAGCATATGTCCTGTAACATTGCTTCTACTTGTTATCCAGAGGACCCTGGAGAATCACGGAGAATAATGTAATTAGTAGGAATGTGCCATTGTACAGGAAGGATGAGAGGAAAGAAGACAAGTTTATTTCTGCATATAAGTAACTTAAGTACAGCTTAATCCAGCTGCCCAGTGGACCATCGAAAACCCTTTCACTCCAAAATCAGGAGCAGTGGAGTCAAGAATTAAAGCTAATTGAGGGGCAGAAAAATGGAAAAGGTTTTTGTGGCTTAACCAGTATATCTGGGTAAACACTGCATCCCTGCCAAAACATTTTCATCTGTGGCCTCTTGGAAGTGTTTCATTAGCATCAGTGTGTACTGGGCAAAACAAAAAAATGCATTTGGTTTTACAGTCAGAGAGTACATTTTTGGGGGAGAGGAAGAACTTAAAATAATATAGAAGAAAGTTGAAAGGTGCTATCATTACTAATATCAATGGAGTAATAATAATACCAGCTACTACTATGTGCTGAGGTTGTACATTAATGTGCCCACATTTTGCACACATATTCCATCTAATCTTCACAGGAGCCAGATAAAGCATGTTCTTTTGCTGTGCCATTTTATAGATAAGGAAACTGAAGCTGAATAAAGATAAATAACGTGTTCAGGCCACAGCACTGGTATGGGCAGAGGCAGGAATGGACTCCAAAGCTACACAATGAATTACAACTTCTCATTTTCTTGGTTACATCTTAATTTATAGGGAGTTTGTTTGTTTGTTTTTTGACACGGAGTCTTGCTCTGTCACCAGGATGGAACGCAGTGGTGCAATCTCGGTTCACTGCAACCTCCACCTCCCAGGTTCAAGTGATTCTCCTGCCTCAGCCTCTCAAGTAGCTGGGACTACAGGTGTGTGCCATTATGCCTAGCTAATTTTTGTATTTTTAGTAGAGACAGGGTTTCACCATGTTGGCCAGGAGGGTCTCGATCTCTTGACCTCATGATCTGCCTGCCTCGGCCTCCCCAAGTGCTGGGATTACAGGCGTGAGCCACCGCCTGGCCTTATAGGGAGTTTTTAGAAATTAATCTCTTGCAATGAAAAATTTTTCTTGAGGTAGGAGCATTTCCACAATCCTACCAGCAAAAATACTGGCATGAGAAAAGTGAGGATGAGTCCAATTCATAAAGTTTTTGCTTTCAAGCTACCATAGGAGAACAAATTGCCCTCAACCCTCTCCCTAAATCACTGTGACTACGATATTTATCCCAAGATCCCCCCTCTGACATTCTCATCTTCTCTCCACTTCTATCTCTCAGGAAAATTACTATGATAAACTTTATATCTTTCATGTTCACCACTAAATGCAAAGAAACATGTTTGGTAGTGATTGTATTTTCCTCCACAAGAGCAACCTCTTTGTAGATTTCTCTCAACTTCCTGATACTCCCTCCTTCTCTTTTCCCTTTATTATTTTCTCTGCCACACTGTTTCTTGCTGTTTCGTTTATTTTTCTTTTGTGAAACCATGACCCCAAGAGACTGGATATGCAATGCATTTATTAAGTTGATCTTTAGTCTATCCACTCTCCTGGGACCATCCACAGTTGTTTGCTTGATTTTTAAAATTACACTCTTGGTATAAATTTTTACCAGGGTTAAGGTGTCTGGGAACTGTAAATGTATGAGGTCACCCTGTTTTTAGGTATACTATTTTTGTTGTTGTATTTATTGTTTTTCTTTTTGTGATTATTATTATGCAAATTTCAAAAGAGAAGGGGAAATGAGAAGGAATTCTATGAAGAAAAGAGACAGGGTAGTTTCTAGAGGGTTGGAAAGATAATCTCTGGGGCAGCACCTTAAAATTCTGATTTTACCCATTTCTCCCTGCTCCATGCATAACCCATCTGTCTGACATTCCACACACTCAGAGTACTGAGGGTGGTACAAGGTGTCAACAAGCTGATTTCATAAACAAACTCCTCTATAGTGAGATGTGAATGGATGTTACCAATAGACCATAGGTCAGAGAAATACCCCTCAGTTCTCTCTATCCTGCTTTGCTTTATTAATATGAATAGTATTAATAGTGTTCATAATGACTGAGAATAGAGATTTCTCCAGGTGTAGGTCTATGGAAGCAATAGTCACTTGTTCACAGGTGCAGTCTTCTCTGTAAGCATCTGTCAGATCACTTCCATCTAATGGTTCACAATCTGATGGTTGACTTGTCCTGTTCTAAAGTAATGAATTCTAACAAAAGACCAAACCTTTCTTTGACACTGAATTCTTTTTACCAATACTTCAGGGATAGTTTGTGGTTTGTGACCATAGAATGAACTCACAACCCCTATTTCCAGTCTGGAGATCCCTTCAGTATCATTGGGGGTATTGAGCCAAGGCCAAGAACACACTTCAGTCTAAAATTCTAAAGAAGAAAAATCCTTGTTCTGCAATAGTTGCTAGTCTCTAAAGTTGGCTCTGCCATGAGCCATGCCTCCTTGATTAATATCTTGGTTGAAACCCCTACCTCTTGAATCTGGGATGAGCCCTGTGACTCACTTTTGACTGGTACAAAGTGGCAGAAGTGATGCTGCATGACTTTAGAGACTAAATCATAAAAAGATTCTCAGCTCTCACATGGGTCTCTTAGAATTCTCATCCTAGGGGAAGCCAGCTACTATATAGATCTGACTACTCTGAGATCACCTGCTTAGGACAAGCACAAGCTAGCCAGATAGAGGGACTATATGGTGAGAGAAACATACCCGGCCAGTCCTAGCTGTTCCAGTGCTCTTAGAGGAACTGCCATCTTGGATGTGCAGAGCCTTCAGATGACTCAGTCCTAGCCCTCATCTGACCTGCATGAGACCCTGAGCCCAAAGCTCATTCCAAAGTACCATGAGAGATAAAAATAAATCATTGTTCTACACTAAGTTTTGCAGTAGTTTGTTACCTAGCAGTGGTTAACTAATACACCTGCCTTTCATCAGAGCTGGTTCCCAGACCCAACCTGGGCTCAGAATGATTGTTCCCTATAGTCTCCTTTCAGTTCCATAAGGATTCATAGCACATTAAGTTCTACACTGGACTCTGGCAAAAAGAGCTCTGTGGAACTCCCCTATGGCAAGGAAAATAAAGGTCCAAAGGGAGCCATTACAGGATACTGAAGTTAGCCTCACTGATCCTCACTCTCTCTCTCTCTCTCACACACACACACACACACACACACCTTTTTTTTTCTTTAGCGAATGTCCAAACCAGCAGCCTGGAAAAATGGTGTATATTAAAACATCAAAAAGTAAATCAAATATTTTGAGAAAAACAAGGCAATAGAGTCATGATATCCCAGGATTGTTCTTCTCAATCCAGGATTTACAACTCCTGCTCACATCTACAGCTTAGAATATATGATTGCTTGTTGACAGCATCATCATCAGGAATGGAATAAGAGCTGTGCCTGCTAAGAGTTCATGTAAGACACCTGCTGATAGAAAGCTATTCACCATGTGGTACTTTCTGCCCTTTCAGAGGATCAAACCATAAACCCTCCAGCTGACTATCTTTAAATATCTTTTATACAAGTTGAGGCCAGGTGCGGTGGCTCATGCCTGTAATCCCAGCACTTTGGGAGGTCGAGGTGGGCGGATCATAAGGTCAAGAGATCGAGACCACACTGGCCAACCTGGTGAAACCCTGTCTCTACTAAAAATACAAAAATTAGCTGGGCATGGTGGTGCATGCCTGCAGTCCCAGCTACTCAGGATGCTGAAGCAGGAGAATCGCTTGAACCCGGGAGGCGGAGGTTGCATTGTGTCAATATTGCCTCCCTGGGTGACAGAGCAAGACTCTGTCTCAAAAAAAAAAAAAAAAAAGGCAGAGTTGTCCATTAATAAATGACACAAATATTGGGGCTTGGGGGGTTTTCTTAAACTATTTGCAAACAGTAACTGAATGTAAATAAATGCGCATGGCACACATCAAATGCTCAATAAAATGTTCATTCTTTTTTTTTTTTTTTGAGATGGAGTCTCGCTCTGTAGCCCAGGCTGGAGTGCAGTGGCGCAATTTCAGCTCATTGCAAGCTCCGCCTCCCGGGTTCACCCCCAGCTAATTTTTTTGTATTTTTAGTAGAGACGGGGTTTCACCGTGTTAGCCAGGATGGTCTCAATCTCCTGACCTCGTGATCTGCCTGCCTCAGCCTCCCAAAGTGCTGGGATTACGGGTGTGAGCCACCACACCTGGCCTAAAATGCCCATTCTTTAACTTCCCTATGAAGAGGTCATATTCATGTGTACAGTGCTCTGCATAAGCACAAAACACCCTGAGGACTGAGTGATGGCAGATAAAGGGTACTAGCAGGTTTGGGAGAGTTTACCCTCTGTAAAGCAAAAAATAATATGACCAACACTTTGCAGTTTCAGAGGTTAATAAAATCTACTTGCAAATGCTCTTGTCTTACTTGCACATAGAGTGCATTCTAATATAACTGACACTCATATGTTATTACACATCTATGTGATTGTACTATTCTTATTTAGCTGAAAATAAATCAGGGCACACTCCAGGGTATAACATCTGCAGCAGAAGCCCATATGTGCTGTTTATTTTTATGAATCAAGCACTGTGTTTATAGTTACTTGCTCTTAATTTGAGCCCTGAACTAGAATTCTTTCTTTTGAAGATATCTAGTTAATTATAAGAGCACATAAACTAGAAAATAAAACGTATCCCAGAAATATTATGATGCACATTTGTAATCTGTGTCAAAAACAACTCATGTATTTCTTTTCATCTATAGGAAGAAAAAGCAGAGTCATCTATATTAGAAAAAGGGTAAATATTGGATTGGAATTTGGGAATCTACTATATTTAAACTGCTAGCAAACTATGACTACAACTGGATTCCCCAAAATATGTCCATTTATTTAACATAGATTCATCTCAGTTGAGTAGAGACTAAAATTACCAGTGACAAACTAATGATTTGATGATTTTTTAAAAGATATATATTTTGATGATGGAACAAAAATGTCATTCAGCAATGAATCTTAACTTTTGTTTTGGCTTGTTTCCTGCTGGTTAATGATTTCTAGTGGCTCACACTGTATTGATTCTAATTTTTTCTGATTTAGCACCATTCTCTAAGCCACTCTACCCCTTTGGTAGAATTCCTTTTAATTAACAACATATCAGCAAGACCCTAAGTCCCCATCATGCTGATTTTCTCCAAGGAGGAAAATTCGGTCCCTCAGTCATGGATTCCACTCACCTCCAGTCAGGTTCTAAATGTGCTTTCAAATAGCTGTTCCACAGTCCCCATAGGTGTCTGTACTTGCCAGGCACATATCCTGATTTATTTTTAGTCTGAAAATTTAGTCTGGATTATAAGGAGAACTGAGAAACACTATGTATCTAAACTTTTCACCACCACTAAAACGTTAAATTCTAAACTCAAAACCAAAGTGAGAGGAATTAACTTTTAAAATATTGGCTTTGTTTTTTCTTTAATTTTATAGGTACTCAAATATTTTTATAATGTAAAAATTTCTTATGAACAATTAATACCATGTTTACCTCTTGCTACAGAGCCTTGATATTCCCAAATAATTTCTCAGGATTATGTGATATAAAGATTTTCGGTAGGAGGAGCCAAGATGGCCGAATAGGAACAGCTCCGGTCTACAGCTCCCAGCGTGAGCGACGCAGAAGACGCGTGATTTCTGCATTTCCATCTGAGGTACCGGGTTCATCTCACTAGGGAGTGCCAGACAGTGGGCGAAGGTCAGTGGGTGCGTGCACCGTGCGCGAGCCGAAGCAGGGCGAGGCATTGCCTCACTTGGGAAGCGCAAGGGGTCAGGGGGCTCCCTTTCCGAGTCAAAGAAAGGGGTGACGGATGCACCTGGAAAATTGGGTCACTCCCACCCGAATACTGCGCTTTTCCGACCGGCTTAAAAAATGGCGCACCACGAGATTATATCCGGCACCTGGGTCGGAGGGTCCTACGCCCACGGAATCTCACTGATTGCTAGCACAGCAGTCTGAGATCAAACTGCAAGGCGGCAGCGAGGCTGGGGGAGGGGCGCCCGCCATTGCCCAGGCTTGCTTAGATAAACAAAGCAGCCTGGAAGCTCGAACTGGGTGGAGCCCACCACAGCTCAAGGAGGCCTGCCTGCCTCTGTAGGCTCCACCTCTGGGGGCAGGGCACAGACAAACAAAAAGACAGCAGTAACCTGTGCAGAATTAAATGTCCCTGTCTGACAGCTTTGAAGAGAGCAGTGGTTCTCCCAGCACGCAGCTGGAGATCTGAGAACAGGCAGACTGCCTCCTCAAGTGGGTCCCTAACCCCTGACCCCCGAGCAGCCTAACTGGGAGGCACCCCCCAGCAGGGGCACACTGACACCTCACACGGCAGGGTATTCCAACAGACCTGCAGCTGAGGGTCCTGTCTGTTAGAAGGAAAACTAACAAACAGAAAGGACATCCACACCAAAAACCCATCTGTACATCACCACCATCAAAGACCAAAAGTAGATAAAACCACAAAGATGGGGAAAAAACAGAACAGAAAAACTGGAAACTCTAAAAAGCAGAGCGCCTCTCCTCCTCCAAAGGAACGCAGTTCCTCACCAGCAACGGAGCAAAGCTGGATGGAGAATGACTTTGACGAGCTGAGAGAAGAAGGCTTCAGACGATCAAATTACTCTGAGCTACGGGAGGACATTCAGACCAAAGGCAAAGGAGTTGAAAACTTTGAAAAAAATTTAGAAGAATGTATAACTAGAATAATCAATACAGAGAAGTGCTTAAAGGAGTTGATGGAGCTGAAAACCAAGGCTCGAGAACTACGTGAAGAATGCAGAAGCCGCAGGAGCCGATGAGATCAACTGGAAGAAAGGGTATCAGCAATGGAAGATGAAATGAATGAAATGAAGCGAGAAGGGAAGTTTAGAGAAAAAAGAATAAAAAGAAATGAGCAAAGCCTCCAAGAAATATGGGACTATGTGAAAAGACCAAATCTACGTCTGATTGGTGTACCTGAAAGTGATGGGGAGAATGGAACCAAGTTGGAAAACACTCTGCAGGATATTATCCAGGAGAACTTCCCCAATCTAGCAAGGCAGGCCAATGTTCAGATTCAGGAAATACAGAGAATGCCACAAAGATACTCCTCGAGAAGAGCAACTCCAAGACACATAATTGTCAGATTCACCAAAGTTGAATGAAGGAAAAAATGTTAAGGGCAGCCAGAGAGAAAGGTCGGGTTACCCTCAAAGGGAAGCCCATCAGACTAACAGCGGATCTCTCGGCAGAAACTCTACAAGCCAGAAGAGAGTGGGGGCCAATATTCAACATTCTTAAAGAAAAGAATTTTCAACCCAGAATTTCATATCCAGCCAAACTAAGCTTCATAAGTGAAGGAGCAATAAAATACTTTACAGACAAGCAAATGCTGAGAGATTTTGTCACCACCAGGCCTGCCCTAAAAGAGCTCCTGAAGGAAGCACTAAACATGGAAAGGAACAACCAGTACCAGCCGCTGCAAAATCATGCCAAAATGTAAAGACCATCGAGAATAGGAAGAAACTGCATCAACTAACGAGCAAAATCACCAGCTAACATCATAATGACAGGATCAAATTCACACATAACAATATTAACTTTAAATGTAAATGGACTAAATGCTCCAATTAAAAGACACAGAAAGGCAAATTGGATAAAGAGTCAAGACCCATCAGTGTGTTGTATTCAGGAAACCCATCTCATGTGCAGAGACACACATAGGCTCAAAATAAAAGGATGGAGGAAGATCTACCAAGGAAATGGAAAACAAAAAAAAGGCAGGGGTTGCAATCCTAGTCTCTGATAAAACAGACTTTAAACCAACAAAGATCAAAAGAGACAAAGAAGGCCATTACATAATGGTAAAGGGATCAATTCAACAAGAAGAGCTAACTATCCTAAATATATATGCACACAATACAAGAGCACCCAGATTCATAAAGCAAGTCCTCAGTGACCTACAGAGACTTAGAATCCCACACATTAATAATGGGAGACTTTAACACCCCACTGTCAACATTAGACAGATCAACAAGACAGAAAATCAATAAGGATCCCCAGGAATTGAACTCCGCTCTGCACCAAGCAGACCTAATAGGCATCTACAGGACTCTCCACCCCGAATCAACAGAATATACATTTTTTTCAGCACCACACCACACCTATTCCAAAATTGACCACATACTTGGAAGTAAAGCTCTCCTCAGCAAATGTAAAAGAACAGAGATTATAACAAACTATCTCTCAGACCACAGTGCAATCAAACTAGAACTCAGGATTAAGAATCTCACTGAAAACCGCTCAACTACATGGAAACTGAACAACCTGCTCCTGAATGACTACTGGGTACATAACGAAATGAAGGCAGAAATAAAGATGTTCTTTGAAACCAATGAGAACAAAGACACAACATACCAGAATCTCTGGGACGCATTCAAAGCAGTGTGTAGAGGGAAATTTATAGCACTAAATGCCCACAAGAGAAAGCAGGAAAGATCCAAAATTGACACCCTAACATCACAATTAAAAGAACTAGAAAAGCAAGAGCAAACACATTCAAAAGCTAGCAGAAGGCAAGAAATAACTAAAATCAGAGCAGAACTGAAGGAAATAGAGACACAAAAAACCCTTCAAAAAAATTAATGAATCCAGGAGCTGGTTTTTTGAAAGGATCAACAAAATTGATAGACCGCTAGCAAGACTAATAAAGAAAAAAAGAGAGAAGAATCAAATAGACGCAATAAAAAATGACAAAGGGGATATCACCACCGATCCCACAGAAATACAAACTACCATCAGAGAATACTACAAACACCTCTACACAAATAAACTAGAAAATCTAGAAGAAATGGATAAATTCCTTGACACATACACTCTCCCAAGACTAAACCAGGAAGAAGTTGAATCTCTGAATAGACCAATAACAGGATCTGAAATTGTGGCAATAATCAATAGTTTACCAACCAAAAAGAGTCCAGGACCAGATGGATTCACAGCCGAATTCTACCAGAGGTACAAGGAGGAACTGGTACCATTCCTTCTGAAACTATTCCAATCAATAGAAAAAGAGGGAATCCTCCCTGACTCATTTTATGAGGCCAGCATCATTCTGATACCAAAGCCAGGCAGAGACACAACAAAAAAAGAGAATTTTAGACCAATATCCTTGATAAACATTGATGCAAAAATCCTCAATAAAATACTGGCAAAACGAATCCAGCAGCACATCAAAAAGCTTATCCACCATGATCAAGTGGGCTTCATCCCTGGGATGCAAGGCTGGTTCAATATACGCAAATCAATAAATGTAATCCAGCATATAAACAGAGCCAAAGACAAAAACCACATGATTATCTCAATAGATGCAGAAAAAGCCTTTGACAAAATTCAACAACACTTCATGCTAAAAACTCTCAATAAATTAGGTATTGATGGGACGTATATCAAAATAATAAGAGCTATCTATGACAAACCCACAGCCAATATCATACTGAATGGGCAAAAACTGGAAGCATTCCCTTTGAAAACTGGCACAAGACAGGGATGCCCTCTCTCACCACTCCTATTCAACATAGTGTTGGAAGTTCTGGACAGGGCAATTAGGCAGGAGAAGGAAATAAAGGGTATTCAATTAGGAAAAGAGGAAGTCAAATTGTCCCTGTTTGCAGACGACATG